>NT_187680.1:0-229282 GCF_000001405.40 Homo sapiens | reverse complement strand
ACGCTGCACCCCGTCTCGTTAGAACGCTGCACCCCGTCTCGTTAGAACGCTGCACCCCGTCTCGTTAGAACGCTGCACCCCATCTCGTTAGAACGCTGCACCCGTCTCGTTAGAACGCTGCACCCCGTCTCGTTAGAACGCTGCACCCCATTTCGTTAGAAAGCTGCACCCCGTCTCGTTAGAACGCTGCACCCCATCTGGTTAGAACGCTGCACCCCATCTCGTTAGAACGCTGCACCCCATCTGGTTAGAACGCTGCACCCCATCTCGTTAGAACGCTGCACCCCATCTCGTTAGAACGCTGCACCCCATCTGGTTAGAACGCTGCACCCCATCTCGTTAGAACGCTGCACCCCATCTGGTTAGAACGCTGCACCCCGTCTCGTTAGAACGCTGCACCCCGTCTCGTTAGAACGCTGCACCCCGTCTGGTTAGAACGCTGCACCCCATCTCGTTAGAACGCCGCCATGGCCTGCATGTGTGTCCGCTCCAAATCTCATGTTGAAATTGTATCCCGTGTTGGAGGTGCCTCCTGGTTGGAAGTGTCTGCGTTATGGGGGTGGGTCCCTCGTGAATAGATTAATGGAGGGGCTGTGAGTGACTTCTTGCTGTATTAGTTCTGTGAAAGCTGGATGCTAAAAAGAGCCTGGCACCTCCCCCATGCTTCCTTTCTTTTCTTTCTTTCCTTCCTTCCTCCCTCCCTCCCTCCCTCCCTCCCTCCCTCCCTCCCTTCTTTCTTTCTTTCTTTCTTTCTTTCTTTCTTTCTTTCTTTCTTTCTTTCTTTCTTTCCTTCTTTCTTTTCTTTCTCTTTCTCTCACTCTCTCCTTCCTTCCTTCCTTTCTGTTTCTTTCGACGGAGTCTTGGTGTCTTGCTCTGTCGCCCAGGCTGTAGTACAGTGGCACGATCTGAGCTCACTGCAACCTCCACCTCTGTGTTCAAGCAATTCTCCTGCCTCAACCTCCCAAGTAGCTGGGATTACAGGCATTTACCACCACACCTGGCTAATTTGTGTATGTTTAGTAGTAATGAGGTCGTGCCATGTTGCCCAGGCTCATCTCAAACTCCTGACCTCGGGTGATCCTCCTGTCTAGGCCTCCCAAAGTGCTGGGATTACAGGCATGAGCCACCGCGCCTGGCCGCCTCCTGCCACTTTCTCTCTCTGATCTCTCCGCGTGCCGGCTCCTCTTCCCCTTCCACCGTGAGTGGAAGCAGCCTGAGCCCCTCCCCAGGTGCAGGTGCTGGCGCCATGCTTCTAGTACAAAAAGGGGCCAAATAAACCTCTTTTCTTTATAAATTACCTAACCTCAGGTGTTCCTTTCTAGCAACACAAACAGGCTGAGGAACACACTGCGGACATTTCGGTGGGAGAAAACAGTGGGTAGATGTCACCAGGAAAACGGATTGCAGAAGAAGGGAAAGTGGAGGGGCAGACAGAACACACACTCGGCACACTCGGCTTCCCTACGTGAGCATGGTCCTCCTCTCATCCCAAGCTAAGAGATAGTCCAGTCCACACAGCGAGGGCTCCCAGCATAGATGCCAACACCCACATCTCACGGGGCATTCAGTGGCCTTGGGGTCTTGCCTTCCCGGCTGGAGAGCCTAGAGCGGATGGTCTGGCTGAAACAGAGGCTTGTCCCTAGCTACATAAACGAGCATTGCAGTGTGTCTCTAGGGGTTCACTCACACTAGTCTGGTCTGCTGAATTAGAAATGCACCTTGAACCAACCTGGCCATCATGGCAAGACTCGCCTCTACAAAAAAATTAATACATAAATAAAATAGCTGAGCCTGGTGGCGTGCACCTATGGTCCCAGCTACTTGGGAGGCTGGGGCTGGGGGATCACTTGGGCCCAAGAGCGTGAGGCCACAGCGAGCTATGATGGCACCACTGCCCTCCAGCCTGGGCGTCAAAGTGAGACTCTCTCAAAAACAAAACAAAACAAAAATAGAAATGCACCTTGGTAAGTAGAAGGTGGTCATTAAGGAAGGAGTGAAAAGAGGGAAATTATACGATGCCTGTGTCCGAAGAGCAGCCAGCACGGACAGCCGGCCTTCCCAAGACGGGCCCTGTAGGTGGCTTGCCTGAAACATGTCTGATTCCCATGCCCGCTCCATCCATCCCCCGTTTGATGGAGGGCAGGCCAAAGGCAAAAGAGGGGCAGAGGAGAGGAAAGGTAAAAAAGAGAAGCAGCAGAGAGGAGGCTGGAGGCACCCAGAAAAGATCCAGAGGCTTAACACTGTTCCTCTGTTTCAAAGGAGTCAGCATGAATGCGGTGGGGGAGAAGGAAGCATTGTTCCAGGAGGAAAACAGTGATGTTTTTGTTTCCAGAGCTCTTGCAACAACTAAGCCTGTTTTCTTGCTTTGCTCAAATGGGAGGGAGAAGTGAAGAGGAGCGAACTGGAAGAAGGGAATGCCACTCTCCTAATGACCCAGCTCAGGAGGTGCTAGGGGAGGATGGAGGAAGTGAATGACCCAGCTCAGGAGGTGCTAGGGGAGGATGGAGGAAGTGAATGACCCAGCTCAGGACGTGGTGAGGGAGGATGGAGGAAGTGCTTCCCTTTAAATGCTTCCCCTTTGCGGGGGCTCACCTAAGGCCCAGGGAGGGCCACGACTCTCATGTGGGGCAGGCCCCACCAGCACCTCCCTCCATCCTGCCCCCTGTCCTTCCCCTCCGTCATCTAGAGCCAGCCTCTGCCAGCACAGCTCAGAGGTCAGTGGCAGGGCTGGAAGGAGTGTCAATGCAGAAACCAGGGGCGGGAGGGAGTGGGGTGGGGGGGGGCGGGGGGGAAGGAACAGGGGTCGGGGAGGGGGGCAGGAGGTTGGGGAGTGGGGCAGGGGGTGGGGGAGTGGGGTGGGGCCCGGTGGGGGAGGAGTGGGGCCCGGGTGGGGCGGGGGAGGGGCTCTGGTGGTGACATCCAGGGCTCTCTCCTGCACTGGGGACCTGGCGTTCGGAACATGCTCTAGCCCTCAGCATATAGGAGAGCGTGGGGAGGGGTCAGTGCATAGCAGGACACGTGGCCAGGATGGGCCATGATTTGAGGGCCACAGGGGAGAGTGCCCCACACCCAAAACACGCCTGTGTAGGTGAGTCTTCCGTCCTTCTGACCCACTGGCCTGAAGTTCCCTGTTACTCCTGGTTAAAGCACTGAAAGCCTCAGTTATAACGTAAGGGTGTTTCCTGAAGTCCCGCATTTATAACGCACACAGCTGAACACCAGCAGTTGGCCAGATCCACACTAGTCATTTGAGGACCATTTAGGAAGAGCTTCGAGGACAGGTAGGTTTACAAGGGAACAAGGGCAAGGAAAGATGTAGGATGCGGGACCACATGAGGAGGGACGTGGGAAATTCATAAGGCATAATGTTACTAGATACGGGAGGAGAGTAAGAAGATGAAAAATAGTCAGAGAGGGACGGAAAATATGGTGCTGGGTCCAACTGTATCCAGAAACATGCAGGCTGAATGGGCACGCTTATCTGAAGGGAAACCAACGTGCTGTATAACAGCTCCTCAGCTCTGTTCACAGGGGACACAGTCCTCTTCCTGCTCAAGGCCACAGCAGTCCTGTGATGTGCAGAGTTTACCTGTGATTCTATTGCTAGTTCAAAACAGGCACAAAATTCACAAGCACAACAAACTCCACTGAAAATGTTCAAAACTCCTTTCAAAGACGGCCAGTCATGCTCCCCCTGCCCTAGGATCCCCTCAGAGTCCCCTGTGCCCATGCTCCAGTGTGGTCTCCCCTCCATCGCAGGACCCCTCACAGCTCCCTGTCCATCCTCCAGTGTGGGCTCCCCTCCATCCCAGGACCCCTCACAGCTCCCTGTCCATCACCCAGTGTGGGCTCCCCTCCATCCCAGGACCCCTCACAGCTCCCTGTCCATCTTCCAGTGTGGGCTCCCCTCCATCCCAGGACCCCTCACAGCTCCCTGTCCATCTTCCAGTGTGGGCTCCCCTCCATCCCAGGACCCCCTCACATCTCCCTGTCCATCCTCCAGTGTGGTCTCCCCTCCATCGCAGGACCCCTCATATCTCCCTGTCCATCACCCAGTGTGGGCTCCCCTCCATCCCAGGATCCCTCACAGCTCCCTGTCTCTCCTCCAGTGGGGGTTCCCCTCCATCCCCTAGTGGGGTCTCCCCTCCATCCCGGGATCTTCTCCCGTGTCGTCGCCCATCCTACAGTTTTTTTCTTTTTTCCTGAAAGCCGCCCTCCTCATCTTTGGTCTGGGGTCTGTCCTTGGGCTGTGGGGACACTTTGCCCATTGCTAGAGCTGGGTCTCCCATATCCATGGCTGAGGGGCTCAGGTGTGGAGAGCCTGGGGGCTGATATGAGGGGTCTCGGGCAGGTGAAGTTCGTGCTGTAGAACCCTCTGAGGGTCCAGCTGGGCCGGGACTCCCTAAAGATGCAGCCGTGTGGCCTCCTCCCCTTCCTCACCCCCTCTTCCCCCCACTGGTAGCTTCTCGGGGACTGTTCCCTAGACACAGGTCCGTGTGAATTCTGGACTCTGGGTCTGAGTCTGCAGAGCACCTGAGCGAGGACACCGTGGCTGTGTCTGCTTCTCACCCCGCTGTGTGCCCTCCATGTTCTCTGGCCTCGTGACCCTTCCCTCTGCAGAGGCCTCCCCCTGGGCCTGCGTGAACCTGGGGTGGCCCTTAGGCTGCTCTCTGTCCCCGCTGGACTTGTCCCAGCCATTCGCTGCTGCAGGGCATCCCCTTGGGCTGGGCAAGTTTTCCCACATCCGCCCCTTCTCCGCCCCTGCCATTTGCCACCCTGCCTAGGTTTCGGGGTCCGTGCTGGGATGACTCCTCTGCTTTCCCCCCCGTTTTCCCCCGTTTTCTCCTTCCAGTCGCATTCTCTGCTAGGCCGCCAGCCCGACTCTACAGAATGCACACCTGGAGCCATATGGAATCTCAGGAACCTGCAAGGCTTCCCTCCCACTACGCGGACTAAGGGCAAGGCTCTCAGAAACGTGAGTTCCTGCAGCAGCGGGTGGGCCGGCTTGTTGTTCATCTCTCCCCAGTTTGTTCTGTGGTCTGCAGAGATTGAGGGAAGCCTGAATCATATAACTCTTGGTTTCCGTCTTTCCCACGGGACCACATCAGCAGATGGCATGACATTTTAAGAAATATTTCAAATATTTCAAAAGTTTTATATAAAAATATTTATTCTCTTCAGATTTCTAGGATGTATGTGCTGCAAGTAGGAAGGCCAGTGGTTGATTAGAATGGGATCGTACGAGTCCTAATGGATACGTAACGCTCGAGCAGCCGGTACAAACGGTGGGCCCTGCACGCCTCCGCTAAGTTACCTCTCACTCCACCTGTTCCACATGGTTTTCGCTCCGCTGGGCCAATGCCTCTACCTACAGCACGTAGAGGAACATCAGACTGATTTCTGCTGAACACTCCTTTTCATCCCCCTAAGGGACAATGCGGGTACCGTGTCCTTAGTTTTTCTCAATCATCTTTCTTATTTTTCTTAATTCCCTTAAGAACTCTGATCTTGTTTCCCTCTCTTTGTTCTGTTTGTGATCCTCTGAAAATGACCCTACCCTTAATTTAATTAAAACGAGCTGTTTACCCACTAGAATGATACAGTTAAAAAGTTTGACAATACAAAGTGTTGGCAGGGCCACAGAATCACTGGAATTCTTAAATGTTGCTTATGGGAGTGTAAAGTAATACGTTTTATTTGAAAAAGAGTTTACAGTCCCTTACAAAGTAAGCACACGACCCAGAAACTCTACTCCTAGGTGTTCGCACCAAGTAATAAAATTTATGTTTTAAGAACAAGAAAGTTCTTAGCAGCTTTATTCAAAATAGCCCCACTGGTAACAACGCATCGGTAGGTAAATAGATAAACACATCGTGCTACGGTCATACAATGGAATGGTACTCAGCAGTGAAAAAGAACAACATGGAAACATCTCAAAATATGACGCCAAGTGCAAGGAGTGAGACACACGAGTTCACACCGTGCATCCTCATTTATGAAGTTCTCCAACAGGTGAAAGTAACAGTCCGAACCTTGAAGTTCCTCTGTCGACCCTGCCAGTCTCTTTCAGGTTCTGCTAAAGTCTTTCCTCTTCACTCTTCCTAATTACACTTACTTTTTTTGAGCATCGATCTTTAATAGAAATTTTTAAATGATTTCTTATTTATATTATTATGTATTACTTTTCTGTTTGGTTTAACTTTGGGTATAGAAGCCTTGTTTTGTATTACTTATCATTCCAAATGCATGGGCCTGTGGCTTTGGCAGGTTTTTTTTTTTTTTTTTTTTTTTTTTTTTTTTGAGACAGAGTTGCGCTTTCATCGCCCAGGCTGGAGTGCAATGACACAATCTCGGCTCACTGCAACCTTCGCCTCCAGGGTTCAAGCGATTCTCCTACCTCAGCCTCCTGAGTAGCTGGGATTACAGGCACCCACCACCACACCAGGCTAATTTTTTTGTATTATTAGTAGAGATGAGGTTTCACCATGTTGGCCAGGCTGGTCTCGAACTCCTGACCTTAGGTGATCCGCCCACCTCAGCCTCCCAAAGTGCTGGGATTACAGGCATGAGCCACTGTGCCTGGCCCACTTATCTTTTTTTGATCACCAATGTTTAATAGAAATTTTAAATGATTTTTTATTCAATTATATTACTCTGTAATACTTTTCCCTTTGGTTTACTTTCGGGTATAGAAACCTTATTTTATATTACTTATTCCAAATGCATGGGCCTATGGCTTTGGCAGGTTTCGTGTGAGTCAGAGCGACGCTGCCGGGGAGTTTTCCTCACTCGCGGCCTCCACTCACGGCCTCCACACGCGGCCTCCACACGCGGCCTGCAGGCAGCCGTCTGGAGTCAGGGGCTCCATGTGCAGCTGCTCCCCAGAAGGTGCCTGTGCTGTTGGCATGCTTTTCATACCGGTGCATTCCGTTCTTCTATCACAGGCATAATTAAACATTTTAACAACTTTTTTCAATTTTCACCTAATTGTCCTCAAATTTAATTCTGATAGAACTGAAATATTTAACAAACAGACCACCAGGAAGCTATTCTCAAAACCAAACAGACTCGCCCTTTGTATTTCCACAATATTGGCCACCGCTGGGTTGGACCCAGCCAAGATTTTCAAGCATTTGTAGAAAGACTCTGACTCACTCCATATTCACAATGGCGTTGTTTAAATCCCTTCTATTTCCTTCCCGAGTAAAACTTACACAAGCCTTCCATGTTACAGAACACGAACCATATTAGCAAACTATTTCGAGGGGAAATGGTATCAATTCTAAATCCTCCTAAGCATTTCCTCTTCTGAAAACAGACATGGATATCTTAGTTGAAATCATAGGAAACTTAACTCGTATTTATAAGAAGCAACATCCTGCTATATTTAGATGTGCATCTGGGGCTGGGCGCGGTGGCTCACGCCTGTAATTCCAGCACTTTGGGAGGCCAAAGCGGGCAGATTGCCTGAGCCCAGGAGTTCGAGACCAACCTGGGCAACACAGTGAGTCTACATCAGTACAAAAAAATACAAAAATTAGCCGGGCATGAAGGTGCACACCTGTAGTCCCAGCTACTCTGGAGGCTGAGGCAGGAGAATCGCCTGGACCCAGGAGTTCCAGGCTGTGGTGAGCCATAATTGCACCACTGCACTCCAGCCTGGGTGACACAGCAAGACCCTGTCTCAAAAAAAAAAAAAAAAAGTGCATCTGGCTGAAAATAAAAAGATATACAAATCTTAATTTTCACGCTTCAACTAGCTGGATAGCTGTGGATAAAGTGTTTAACTCGTAGGCCTATGAGTTGAGATACATGAGCTCAAAGTGCCCAACCAGTAGACGGCTGTGTACCAATCTAAAGTTTCATTGCAGACAAATCTTGCTATTTGGTTTCTTTGCCATTCGTTCCATAAAGCACCACATAATTGACTCAACCAAGCGCATAATGCCAGTATCTCACCTGAGATCATGTTAGCATATCATGAAAGTTCCTGACCTATTGCACATGTGCAGAATCACCCATGTAGCACACACACAGATAGGAAGAATAATAGGATGTATACCCTGTACCTATCACTCAGTTTCACAGACTATTAACAGGATACTTCCATCCCTTCCTCCATCCCCAGTGGTACCTGGAGTATCCTAAATTGGGGTTTGATCATCCCTTGCTTTAGTTTATTGCTCTAATACCCACGTCTCAACCCAGCCTGTGTCTGCTTGTCTTTCTCGTATATGTTTAGATTTGCATGTTTTTTTGTTTGTTTGTTTGTTTTTGAGGCAGGGTCTCACTCTGTTGCCCAGGCTGGAGTGCAGTGTGGTATTACAGCTCACTGCAGCCTTGACTTCCCTCAGCTCAGGTGATCCTCCCACCTCAGCCTTCCGAGTAGCTGGGACTACAGGTGTGCACCACCATGCCCAGCTAATTTCTATAGATGGGGTTTCGCTGTGTTGCCCAGGTTGGTCTTGAACTCCCGTACTGAAGCAATCTGCCCACCTCAGCCTCCCAAAGTGCTGGGACTATAGGCCCACCACACCACGCCTGGTGGCTTTGCACGTTCTTGGTATCTTATACAACTGGTATCATACTACATGTGTTTTTCTGAGGCTTTCTTTGTCGTTCCCAATACGTTCCTTCTTTTTCACTCCTCTACAGTAATTAAGTCATGAATATACCACGCCGATGGACATGTCTGTCACTTCTGGTTTAGGGCTATTATAAGCAATACTGATGTGAACATTCACATATATGTTTATCATGTGCTTATGCGTTCCATAGGGTGTGTGTCTGAGAGTGGATTTGCTGGTACTAGGTCTCCACATCTTCAGTTTCCCCAGATGACACCAATTGTTTTCCAAATAGTTGAAACTGTTTAAACTTCTACCGACTGGGCTGAGTATTATGAGTTAAATTTTGCTTATCTGATATGAGTGTAAATACCCTTTATCAGATTAAGGGAGTTCCCTTCCATTTCTAATATGTTAGGAGGTTTTATTATTAATGGGGTTTGATTTTTATCAAAGGCCTTTTCTGCAGTTATTGAATAAACATATAATTTTTTTTTTTTTTTACTTTAGGTAGTAATGTGGAGATTCAAGGTAAAAGATTTTTGAAAGAATTGCTGTATTTGATTGGCTAACTTTGGAAGTCTTTTTTTCCATCTCTGTTCATGAATGAGAGTTTTGCCATTTCCCTGTCTCATACTGTTCTCACCAAGCTGAAACTGACCTCATCAAATATTTGAATTTTTGCTACTCTCTGGAAGAGTCTGTTTAAATTTTAAACTCTCTCTTCCTGAAATTTTTGATAGAAGTAGCTCATAAAAGCACCTGGAACTTTCATTTTCTTGCTGGAAGAATTTTATTCACTCAATTTTTAAGAAGAGTTATTGAGGTTTCTTCAGCCAGTACTGGGGACTTCTATATTTGCAGGAATGTGTGCATTGATTCTAAGATTTCAAATGTGTTGCCATGGAGCTGCTTATGAGCTTGTCATATTATTGTTTTACTTTCTGCTGCCCGTATAGATATGGATTCCTTTACATGCCTGTATTAGTTTTCTATTTCTTCCTTAACAAATTACCACAAACTTCGGTTTTTTTGTTTGTTTGAGACAGGGTCTTCCTCTGCCATCCAGGCTGGACATGGCTCACTGCAGCCTCAACCTGCTGGGCTCAAGCAATCGTCCCACCTCAGCCTTCCAAGCTGCTGGGACCACAGGTGTGCTCCACCACATCTGGCTAATTTATTTTATTTTTAGTAGAGATGAGGTCTCACTATGTTGCCCAAGCTGGTCTTGAACTCCTGGGCTCAAGAGATTCTTCCACCTTGGCCTCCCAAGTAGCTAGGACTAGGCACACACCACCATGCCTGGTTAATTTTTTATTTTTATTGTTGTAGAGACAAAGTCTCACTATGTTGCCAGGGCTGGCCTCAAACTCCTGGGCTCGAGAGATCCTCCAGCCTCGGCCTTCCAAAGTACTGGGATTCAGATGTGAGCCAGTGCACCCGGCCACAAACTTAGTCTTAAAAACAACACAAATTGACTGTCTGTGGTTGTGTATCTGCAGGTCACAATCTAGCAGGGCTCTCTCGGAGCTGAAATGGCAGTGGCAGGGCTGCATTCCCATCTGGAGGCTCCAGGGAGAAGACTTGCCTTGCACTTTACACTCTCCTGGGCTTGCAGCCCCTTCCCCACCTCCAAAGCAGCAATGCTGGGCTGAGTCCATATGCTGTCGCCCACCCCTGAACACTTCTGCCTCCTCTTCTACTTTCAAAAACACTTGGGAATACACTGGACTCACCCACACGATCCAGGACAATCTCCCCCTTCAGATCCTCTCCTTACATCTGCAAAGCCCCCTTCACCTGGGAAGGCCACACTCACCTACTTCTGCGGGGTCCTGCGTGGACACTCTGAAGTCACGTCTCAGATTGTTGGTCTGCACCTCCATGCTTTTTCTCTGTCTCTTTTTCCCTTTGATCATTTTGCTAGAGGTTTCCAATTTTTCTGTCTTTTCAAAATCCATTCTGTCATTTGTACCCATGGAATTACTATCTCCTGCTTTATTAATTCTGGCCTTATTTTTATTTTCTCCCTTCAATATACTTTTGGTTTGTTCTACTATTCAATTTCTAAAGTTGTAGACCCAATAATTTTTAGCCATTCTTTTTTTTCTGTATTTTTTAGTTGACAAAATTATATATTCATTAAAATCTCCTTTTTGCGTATATGTGTGTGTATATATATATATATATATATATATTTTTTTTTTTTTTTTTTTTTTTTTTTTTTTTTTTTGAAATGGAGTTTTGCTCTTGTTGCCCAGGCTAGAGTGCAGTGGTGCGATCTCAGTTCACTGAACCTCTGCCTCCTGATTTCAAGCGATTCTCCTGCCTCAGCCTCCCAAGTAGCTGGGATTACAGGCGCCCACCACCATGCCTAGCTAATTTTTGTAATTTTAGTAGAGATGGGGTTTCACCATGTTGGCCAGGCTGGTCTCGAACTCCTGAACTCAGGTGATCCACCTGCCTCGGCCTCCCAAAGTGCTGGGATTACAGGTGTGAGCCACCGCATCCAGCCCCTTTTTACATATACTTTTAATTTTTGTATATACATTTTTATGACTATATATAGTATGTACAGCATATATATTTTGTGTGGAGAGAGAGAATTTCTAGTTTTTAAAGGTTCAGAAAATCCATTGATACAAATATTACTGAAAATATTTAGGGGATAGGACATGAGGTAGCCTCCACTTCAAAACCTTCCTTGTACAGGTGAGTGAGAGACCTGGAGTTACAGGATTATCTGGGGGCAGGGTGGGGAGGGGATGATGTTGAAATGAAAACCAAAACTCCCGAGTGTTCCTATACCAAATTAGCAGCTTCATGTGAAAATCAGCCCCAAGGAAAACCCAGGAGACAGCTGGGTCCACAGCCCTGGAGAAGCAGGAGCAGCAGCTGGGTCCACAGGCGAGGAGAGGCAGATCCTGGAGAAGCAGGCTCACTTCTCCCGCCCAGTGGTGGCCATGCCATGTCCCTCCTTCCACGTCTCCCAGCCGCACCTAAAACTAGTACAGATGGGAATAAAACCCACCTCTGGAGTGTGTGTAAGTTATGCAAGGTGTGAATCAAACATAGGAAACGCTGCTAGTGCATGGCCTTGGGCAGACACACAGGAGAACCAACAGGAAGGAAATTTACCAAGATATTAACACATGGTCTGTTTCCCTCTTTATTGTAATTTGTATTTCCAAAACTAATACTTATTACATTTATATACTGATTAAAACAATGAGTGGATTTCTTTAATAGATAAGAAGTATCAATATGTACAAGTCCATTTTATTCATGGCTGAATTAGCAAGAAATATATAAGAACCAGTTAGCCATATTTTGACACACCATGTCTTTTTAAATTAGCACTAACAGTAACCTATCAGCATAACCCAAAGAAACATTTACCCTTTGTAAAATGACATCTTCCTCTTGTCAAGTGTTTAAAATGAATATAAATGGGCCTGCTGTCCCCAGTTTTTCTGAGCAAGTGATTTGCAAAAGCTTAAGGCCTGAAACCTTGAAGCCTGTACCAAACTGTCCAAACAAGGCAGTGTTGATGAAGATGGACACCCTTGCTATTTTCTCATTAGTCCAGAATAAGTAGGATGTAGTTACAGAAAAATCACACCAGGCGCCATGGCTCACACCTGTCATCCCAGCACTTTGGGAGGCCAAGGCAGGCAGACCATGAGGTCAAGAGATCGAGACCAGCCTGACCAACATGGTGAAACCCCGTCTCTACTAAAAATACAAAAATTAGCTGGGCCTGGTGGCGTGTGCCTGTAGTCCCAGCTTCTTGGGAGGCTAAGGCAGGAGAATCACTTGAACCCGGGAGGCAGAGGTTGCAGTGAGCCAAGATCATGCCACTGCACTCCAGCCTGGTGACAGAGCGAGACTCTGTCTAAAAAAGATAAATAAATAAAATAAAAAAGTCATGCCAGAAAGCAGGAACACTTTGCAAAGGAAGTTATTGACAAACAGTAAAAATTCTAAAAATCACTATAGTAAATGAGTGAAGGTTAGCTGCTGCAAAGGGGAAAATGTACATAGACCATAAATTAAGCTACACATCGTAGAAAAATAAATAATCACTCCAAAAGATCCCACCTCCACAGGGAGGCTTGAAAAGATGCTATTACACCACAGCCCACAGATGAAAGTGTGAACTCAAAAGTATCTGAGACAGGTCTCCATCCATTTAGAAAGTTTATTTTGCCGTGTGGGTTCACTTTCACACTGCTATAAAGAAATAGCCGAGACTGGGTAGTTTACAAAGGAAAATGGTTGAACTGACTCACAGTTCCATATGGCAGGGGAGGCCTCAGGAAACTTAAAATCATGGCGGAAGGCAAGAGGGAAGCAGGCACCTTCTTCACAAGGCAGCAGGACAGCGAGTGTGAGAGAGCCTGGGGCAACTGCCCTTTATAAAACCATCAGATCGCTGGGCGAAGTGGCTCACGCCTGTAACCCCTGCACTTTGGGAGGCCGAGGAGGGTGGATCACCTGAGGTCAGGTGTTCGAGACCAGCCTGGCCAACATGGTGAAAACCCATCTCTACTAAAAATACAAAAATTAACCAGGTGTGGTGGCAGGCACCTGTAATCCCAGCTACTCGGGAGGCTGAGGCAGGAGAATCGCTTGAACCCGGGAGGTGGAGGTTGCAGTGAGCCAAGATCACGCCACTGCACTCCAGCCTTGGCAACAAAACTCTGTCGCAAAAAAAAAAAAAAAAAAATCAGATCTCGTGAGAGTTATTCACTATCGCGAGAACAGCATGGGGAGAACCGCCCCCATGATCCAGTCACCTCCGGCCAGCTGTGTCCCTGGGGACTGCAATTCAAGATGAGATTTGGGTGGGGACACAAGGCTAACCATATTACTTGCCAAGGTTAAGGATGAGCCCGTGACACAGCCTCAGGAGGTCCTGACCACATGTGCCCAGGGTGGTCGGGGCACAGCTTGGTTTTATACATTTTAGGGAGACGTGAGACATCAATCAGTAGGTGTAAGATGCACATTGGTTTGGTCTGGAAAGATGGGACAACTCAAAGTGGGGGCTTCCAGGTCACAGGCAGATAAGAGACAAACAGTTGCATTCTTTTGAGTCTGGGATTAGCCCTTCTTTCACCAAATACACAATTTACATGTGAAAGGGGGGTAGAGGAACAGTCACTCTTGCCTTAGTCTGGCTTAGTGAATCTGCATTTTTTTCTTATTTTTTAGAGACAGGGCCTGGCTACATGGCCCAGGATGGTCTCAAACTCCTGGACTCAAGCAATCCTCCTGCCTCAGTTTCCTAAAGTGCTGGTCTTACAGGTGTGAACAACTATGCCCAGCCTGCATCTGCAGTTTTAAGTAAAATGGGAGGCGGGATTCCCTGATGCAGTTCCCAGCTTGATTCTTCCCTTTGGCTTAGTGACTTGGGGTCTCGAGATTTATCTTCCTTTCACAAGAGCCTGTGGTTCCACCGTAAGGACTGGAGTGGCCGATGCAGGGGGAGGAGTTTTGGGTGTGGCCACAGAGGCAGCTCCCAGCAAAGGCTGGCCACTGCATCCCCCTTCCTCACTCTGACTCCAGTCTTTCTGGCCATGAAACTTGACCTCTGTCATTTCAGGGGTTTCTTGTGGCCCCTCCACCCAGGCTAGCCCAGCTGAGCCCTCGAGGCTCCTCCTGCACCCTAGGCCTTGTTCCTATCACTTCCAGAGCCTGTCTGGTCAGTCCGAAGGTCTCTGTGTTAATGTTAATGCCATCGGCTGTTCCTGACCCCAAAGGGAGAGGATACAATGAGGCGTATCAGACCCTCCCCTTCCCGTCCGGCCTGACTTGTTTTTCAGGTTTGTTTGGAATCCTCTTGGCCAAGAGTAGGGGTCCATTCAGTTGGATGGGGGGCTTTTGGTTTTCGGAATTTTATTTTTGGTTTAAAACGGATGCTCACATGGGAGCCTGGGCCCAGAGCGGCCCAGGAAAGCACGTTCCAATGCTCCCTGCAGTGATCTAATGCGCTCAGAAGGTGGGAATGACTGTTCTAGTTCCCAGAGCCCCTTTTGCAGGGGACAGATGCTGGTGTAGAGTCCATGGTGCATTCAAGTCATGTTTCCTGCCCATTCCATCCGAGTGCAGTAGCCTCAGTATCTCATGCTACTAAAGTGATTGTCCAATCACTGTCACCGCCTGAAGGCTGGCTACAAAATTAAGAAATTAAAACTCCTGCCCACTGCACAGAGAAAACCAATTCACTGAAACCATGGTGTTGCAATAAAGAAAGTTTAACTGACACGAGGCCAGCCACGCCACGTGGGAGATGGAGTTATTCCTTTCATGCGCGTCCGTGTGAAGAGACCACCAAACAGGCTTTGTGTGAGCAAAATGGCTGTTTATTTCACCTGGGTGCAGGCGGGCTGAGTCCGAAAAGAGAGTCAGCGAAGGGAGATAAGGGTGGGACCGTTTTATAGGATTTGCGTAGGTAAAGGAAAATTACAGACAAAGGGGGTTTGTTCTCTGGCGGGCAGGAGTGGGGGTCGCAAGATGCTCAGTGGGGGAGCTTTTTGAGCCAGGATGAGCCAGGAAAAGGACTTTCACAAAGTAATGTCATCACTTAAGGCAAGGACCAGCCATTTACACTTCTTTTGTGGTGGAATGTCATCAGTTAAGGTGGGGCAGGGCATATTCACTTCTTTTGTGATTCTTCAGTTACTTCAGGCCATCTGGGCATATACGTGCAAGTCACAGGGGATGCGATGGCTTGGCTTGGGCTCAGAGGCCTGACCATTACTTAAATCAATTTCCCTGAAAATTTGGAGGCTACTGTATTTCAAGGGTAGTTTAGCAGGCCAGGGAGTCCGCTTCTGAGTGGGGCCACAGGATCAGTCGGACATCAGAAATGCAAAAACTTGAAAGGACATCTCAAACGGCCAATCTTAGGTTCTACAATAGTGATGTTTATCTGCAGAAGCTGCAAATCTTGTGACCTCCAGAGTAATGGCTGGTCGTCGTTTACATCTATATTTTAGCAGAATCCAGGCTCCTCTCATCCTCCTAACCTACTGGCCTTTCATTAGCTTTACACAGGCAGTTCAGTTCGGGAGAAGGGCTATTATCGTTTAAACTATAAATATCTTCCAAAATTAGTTTGGCCCAGGCCTAGGAGTGATGAAAGACAGTTTGGAGGTCAAAGGCAGGATGGGGGTTGGTTAGATCAGGTATCTTTCAACGTCATAGTTTTCTCACTGCTGTAATTTCTGAAAGGTGGTTTCATCACTTCCAAGAGGGTAGAAGACATGTCCTACTCTGGCGGCAATTCCTGCGGGTGGCTGAAGGACTGAATCTGCACAGAGCGGCTGTCAGAGGCCAGTGCGTTCTCTGCTCCTTGTGTTCCTATCACCCAACTCTCCTGTAAGCCAGGCAATAAGAGACGGGAGAAAAACATCCTCATGCAAAGCAGCCGGACCCAAAATGAAGAAATGAAAAGATCAGTGGATCGTTAAGACCCGAAGTCAAATTTTTAACATGCCCCTGACTTTGTGGTTTTAAACTTGCCTGTTTGAGACATGTAAATACTCACTGATTTATAAAAACACCAGTCATCAGGCGTGCCAGTTTGATTCCAGAGAAAACAGTAGAGAGTGCCTTATCGGGAAGAACAAATGGCTGCCCTTATCTAGACGCTTTCACTTACTGCATGGTTCAGCACACGGCATTTTCATGATATGCAGAAACCATCTTCATAAAAAGTAATTTTCCACTTGCCCAATTAAATAACTGTCAAAGCGTATTTCCGAGGAAATTACACTGCATTGTTCTTAACTTTGCTTAGTTGTTAAAAAAAAGTTGACATTTTATTGTGAAATAAAACATATGCAGAAGAATTCACAAATCACACATTTACTAAATGATTATAAAGCAAATAGCTATGTAACCAGATCACAAGCAGAGCCCTGCCAGCACCCCAGAACCCCCACGGATCCCATCCTAACCACAGCCCCATTCCCTCATTGGGAAATGTGTTTGGTTTTATTTGCAAGCCAACCCATAACCTCACCTCATGTTCCAAGAAAGTCCCACAGTGATATGAGGCCAATCTGTTCAGCTATTTTTATAGGGAATTCTTTACCGCCTAAATCCAAAATACTTCCAAAATACTTCCCACTTCTGGGAGCCTGGAACTCACTCCCACGCTCTTGGCCTCATCCAGGGAGGAGCTTTCTCGCAAACCTGTCGCTCCAGGTCCTAAGAAACCAGATTTTATTAAAAGATTGGGTTTAGGACAATTAGGTAACTGATTAGTCTATCACAGTTGTCTGTGACAAGAACATAAATATTAGAGTTGAGACGTCAATTTTGTGAATAAAACCAAGCAGAAACCCTAACAAAGGCAAGAAGGGGTTTGTTTAGATCAGATGCAAGGGCTTCTGGTCCAACAGGCAGACAGAGCCCTCATGTCCATCCATTTCCTGCTGAAACCTGGCTAAAAATATTTAAGTGTTGAAAGTAGAGAAAGAAGATAGAAGGCATGGCCGGGTGTAGTGGCTCACACCTGTAATCCCAGCTCTTTGGGAGGCCGAGACAAAAGGATTGTTCAAGGCCAGGAATTCAAGGCCAGCCTGGGCAACATGGTGAGACCCTGTCTCCATTTAGAAGAAAAAGAAGAAGAAGAAGAAGAAGAAGAAGAAGAGGAAGAGGAAGAGGAAGAGGAAGAGGAAGAAGAAGAAGAAGAAGAACAAGAATTGGAGGAGGAGGAGGAGGAGGGGGAGGAGAAGGAGGGGGAGGAGGAGGAGGGGGACGGGGAGGGGGAGGGGGAGGGGGGAGGGGGAGGAGGAGGAGAAGAAGGAGGAGGAGGAGAAGAAGAAGGAGGAGGAGGAGGAGAAGAAGAAGGAGGAGCAGGAGGAGGAATACAATGGTCCAGTGCCAAGACAGTGAAAGGCAGAGGGCCATGGCAAAGTCTGAGGGCTGGAGGCAGATGGACAGATGATGGACGAATGGGCACCGGTGAGGCCAACCAGAGGAGGCTACCGGAGCTACAGGGAGAGCCTTTCAGGCATCTCTGAAAGGGGACATCAGGCGAGGCTGAAAGCAGGAGGCACAGGATCACCAGGTCCTGCTCCACACCCAGGAGGGCAGGTGGCAGCCCCAGCCCAGCTCGGAGGGCCCAGGAGGAATCGGCCAGAAGACACTGTCATGGAGATCCTGAGGCAGCAATGGGAAGCAGGAGGAGTGAAAGAACAGTGGCCTTTGCCTACTTGGATCCAAGAGTTGTGGCAGTCGAATGACAGATCCTTCCGCTCCGCACCCCAGGGGACAGCATGACAGATCCTTCCGCTCCGCACCCCAGGGGACAGAATGACAGATCCTTCCGCCTCACACCCCAGGGGACAGCATGACAGATCCTCTCGCCGCACACCCCAGGGGACAGCATGACAGATCCTCTCGCCGCACACCCCAGGGGACAGCATGACAGATCCTCTCGCCGCACACCCCAGGGGACAGCATGACAGATCCTCTCGCCCCGCACCCCAGGGGACAGCATGACAGATCCTTCCGCCCCGCACCCCAGGGGACAGCATGACAGATCCTTCCGCCCCGCACCCCAGGGGACAGCATGACAGATCCTCTCGCCGCACACCCCAGGGGACAGCATGACAGATCCTCTCGCCCCGCACCCCAGGGGACAGCATGACAGATCCTTCCGCCCCGCACCCCAGGGGACAGCATGACAGATCCTCTCGCCGCACACCCCAGGGGACAGCATGACAGATCCTCTCGCCGCACACCCCAGGGGACAGCATGACAGATCCTCTCGCCGCACACCCCAGGGGACAGCATCACAGATCCTTCCGCTCCGCACCCCAGGGGACAGCATGACAGATCCTTCCGCCCCGCACCCCAGGGACCCCAGAATTCCTTTCAGGGAAACACACCCATGAGAAAAATCTGCGTGATTCAAGAGTTCCTCAGTATGAGACCCACGCGCCTCCCTGGTTATCCCCGGTCCCACAGGCAAACCTCCTTATGCCACAGACACACACACACACACACACACGCACACCCGGGGTTCCACATCCTTTCTCAGTGCCTCATGCTGAGAAATAAATAGTCGAAGACCACCAGACACAAGGAAGCCTTCGACATGGAGAAAGAGGCAAAACCAAATTGTGTGGTCAGAGGAGACAGTGAATGGGGCAGAAGAAAACTTCAACAGAGAAAAGCGATTGTTGAAATGCTCCGGGGTGTCTGTCTCCCACCAGTGGAATTGCTGTGACACTCGGTGTGTGTCAGTGTGTGCAGAGGCATCTCCTGTCTCTAGTGGAGACTCTGGGATCAAATTAGTGACTGGTACACGAACACTCATCCAACCACTAGAGGAGGAGGAAAGGGCGCAGGGCTTTATTATGAACAGGCTAGGTCAACAGGACGGGCCTCGGGATGGGAAGTGGGTTTGAAGAGAAAGAGGAATCAAGAAAAATCCCAAAAGTTTTGACTGCAACACCTGGAAGGAGAGCAGCCCCCTGTACCGAGATGGAGGTAACAGGAAGAAGAGCACCTTGTGGGGGAAAGCAAAGCCCTGGTGTGGGTGGCCTGAGGCTGTAGAAAGTGTGTGATGCTCCAGATAAGGTGTCAGCTGACCCAGTATTCAGGTCTGGGCTGGAAGTGAGATTTTGGGAGCTTCTTGGGTATGGATGTGATTTACAGGTGACTTTGCCTGGGAAGATCCTACAGATGGAGAAGAAAGACAGGAGGAGGTTAGGATGATGGGAGGGGGACCAGGATCGGGCTCCAGGATCCCTCCCAAAAAAGCTCTTCTGGAGGAAGGGTTGGTGGAGCAAGTGCTGGCCGCCGGTGCCCTGGCAGGGGTGACTGTGGGGGGCAAAGGGCACTGTGGTGGGCCTTGGGCCTAAGAGACAACAGGAAAGAGGAGGTGGGGCTGGTGTGTGTAGGAAGTCCTTCTAGGTGGTTTCTCTAGAAAGAGAAGAGGTAGCTGCTGGAGGGGGTGAGATCCAGGGGTCTTTTCATGGCAGCAGCTCTCAGCATGGCATAGATGGACCAGTACCCCTGAGTGTAAAGGGGCGACGGTCCCGGGTGGAAGGGGCTTTGGACAGGCAAGGGAGGGGAGACAGTGCAGAGCCTCAATGCTGGTGGGCGGGATCAATGTGATGGTAAGCAGACTGGGACATTCTCTCAGGAGTTATCCATAAAACCTAGTGGACAGTTAAAAAGAGGGGAGAGAGAGAGAAAGAGAGAGACAGCAGTGGGAGTCCAGGCAGATGTGAGTTTGTGACCCAGGGAGGAAGCCTGGCAGAAGGGGCCCCTTTCCTCCAGATCTGGGGATCTGGGACCTAGGAGTGTCTTGGGATCTGTAATGACTGGGAAACATCCAGGGCAGTTTCCACGGCAGCCCCAGTGCGCCAACACCTGGTCCAGGAGGACAGAGAGATTTACTGAGTCCAGACTCGAAACAGAACTACACAAATAGGAAGGTGTGGAGGGGGACGTGGGTCCTGATTTCCAAACTGGGGCCTCCAGCCTTGGATGGAGGAAGTTAGGAAGGAAGGAAACAAGGAGAATTCAGGGACAGCTGGAGAAAAGGCCTGGAGTTCCTACCGGTCTATGGAAAAAGCAGCAATCTTGTGAGTGGGAGCATCATCCGGAGCTGGGTGGGTGGGAGGACTATCAGGGAGGCTCGGGGCTGGGCAGGAGATGGCCCTGCTCTCCTTCCCCTCCCCGTCTTCTGCAAAGCAGGCAGGTCTGCTCGTCCAGTCCTCAGGGGATGCTTAACCTCACTGCACTTTCGGCTATTTGTTTTTTAAGAGTTTGACTGTAACTCCCTGCCCCCAGGTGCTGGCGGTAGGGCTGCAGCTAATGGAGTGGTTAGCCCAGACTCTTTCCCTTCCCAACCCCAGTTCTGGGGAAGACCTCACCTGGGATCTTCCGACCAGTGTCTTATACCCCAGGGGGAACACACCCACTCCAAAGAGCTAACACCCAAGGACTGCAACCCCTGAACAAGAAACGAGTTGAGCTGAGGATACTGTTTAAAGTTTATTTATTTATTTATTTTATTTACCCAAGGACTGCAACCCCTGAACAAGAACAAGTTGAGCTAAGGATGCCATTTAAAGTTTATTTATTTATTTATTTTATTTTTATTTTTTGAGACAAATCTTGCTCTGTCGCCCAGGCTGGAGTGCAGTGGCGTGATCTCGGCTCACTGCAACCTCTGCCTCCTCGGTTCAAGCGATTCTCCTGCCTCATCCTCCTGAGTAGCTGAGATTACAGGCCCGCGCCACCACACCTGGCTAAGTTTTGTATTTTTATTAGAGACAGAGTTTCACCATGTTGGCCCGGCTGGTCTCGAACTCCTGACCTCAGGTGATCTGCCCACCTCAGCCTCCCCTGTTCAAAGTTTTAAAACAGATGCACCAAGAATTTATACAAATAAACATATTCAAAGAGATAAAGGCAGACACCAGAGACATAAAGCAGGGAAGAAGGAATGTCTAGCATCCAATGAAATAATTGAAATAAGGAACATGATGAGGCCAAATGCAGCCAAAGCCAGATGAGCAGGCTAGAGGCAACTCACCCCAAAGGCAATAGGAAAAGAGAGAATGTATGAAAGAATGGTTAAAGGTAAGTAAGGTAATTAAAGAAGTGGAAATGTACAGATAATGGAGTTCCAGGAACAGAGAAAAATAAAAATGGAGAAAAAAATATTCAAAGGTAAAATCAGAAAAATTAAAGATGAAAGCTCTCAAGTTGAAAGGGCTTAGAGAGTGTCTAATAGGATGGATGGGAAACTTACCCATAATTGACAGTGAAACTCAAGAATATCAAAGAAAATTCCAAAAGTTTCTATGAAGAAGAGCAGATCACTGACAAAAGAGTAAGTTTCATTTCAGAGTTTCCAGAGGCCACAATGGGTGCCAGAAGACACTGGAGTAATATTTTTAAAGCCCTCAAGGAAAATAATTTGACATAGAAGCCAGGTGCAGTGGCTCACACCTGTAATCCCAGCACTTTGGGAGGCCGAGGCAGGTGGATCATGAGGTCAGGAGATGGAGATCATCCTGGACAACATGGTGAAACACCGTCTCTACTAAAAATACAAAAATTAGCTGGGCATGGCAGCGCATGCCTGTAATTCCAGCTACTAGACAGGCTGAGGCAGGAGAATCCCTTGAACCAGGGAGTTGGAGGTTGCAGTGAGCTGAGCCAAGATCATGCCACTGCACTCCAGCCTGGGAGACAGAGCAAGACTCTGTCTAAAAAATAAATAAATAAATAAAATAAAATAAAATAAAATAAAATAAAACATAAAAAAAGGAATTTGACATAGAATTTTATAGCCAGCTCAACTGTCACTGAAGTATAAGCACATACCAAATTATCTTCCAATATAAAAGGCCTCAGAAGATCCACTTTTCCAAAACTCACTTTGAAAACGTTCTTCAAGGAAATTAGAAGATAAATAAATCCAGGAGGATGTTGATAGGAACTATGGGTATAAAAAACTTTAGATCAAATAGATTTTAGTAGTCTATTGTTATCTAAAAAAGCCAGGAGCAGCCAGGTGCGGTGGCTCACGCCTGTAATCTCAGCACTTTGGGAGGTCGAGGCGAGCGGATCACAAGGTCAGGAGATCAAGACCATCCTGGCTAACACAGTGAAACTCCATCTCAACTAAAAATACAAACAATTAGCTGGGCGGGGTGGCGGGCGCCTGTAGTCTCAGCTACTCGGGAGGTTGAGGCAGGAGAATGGCGTGAACCCGGGAGGCAGAGCTTGCAGTGAGCCAAGATCGCACCACTGCACTCCAGCCTGGGCAACAGAGCGAAACTCCGTCTCAAAAAAAAAAAAAAAAAGGCCAGGACCAAAGTGAGGAGAGAAGATGAAGTACATTTACAACAATGCAAAAGTAAATATTTAAACAGAATCAACATGGGAGTCCAAAGATTTAATATTAATCTGCTCAGGAAATCAATACGATTAGCTATGTATTGATGTGGATCTTAAACTAAAGGTAACCACCATTAAAATCGATAGGAGAAACTTAGGGAAAAAGAAATGAATGTAAAAGCCAATTATGAATGAAGGAGGCAGAAATAAAGTCCTGCTGCAACCAGACACAATCAACTTAATGAGCTAAAACACCAATACGAAGCTTGGATTTATAAAGAAAGAATCAACAGTTTTCCAAGAGAAGCATATTTAAAAGTAAAGGATACTAAAAAGTTTAAAATAAATAGAAAAAGAAGTACTAGGCAAATTGGAATCAATATAAAACTAGATAGTAGCCCTGCTATCTGCCAAGTCCAAAGCAATCAGCGAACAGCATGCTGTTACACACCTGAAAGAGGAAACAGATGAACAAGATGCAACCATCATGATCACATGTGTACTTAAGCATGTTTCTTTAAAAAAGCAAAAACTGACCGGGTGCAGCGGCTCATGTCTGTAATCCCAGCATTTTGGGAGGCCGAGGCGGGCGGATCTCCTGAGGTCAAGGGTTTTCGAGACCAGCCTGGCCAACATGGCGAAACCTCATCTCCACTAAAAATACAAAAACTAGCTGGGCATGGTGGCGCATGCCTGTAATCTCAGCTACTCGGGAGGATGACGCAGGAGAATCACTTGAACCCGAGAGGCAGAAGTTGCAGTGAGCCGAGATTGCGCCACTGCACTCCAGCCTGGTGACAGAGGAGACTCCGTCTCAAAAAAAAAAAGCAAAAACTGACACAACTCTACAGAGAAAAACATAAGTTGGCAATTATACTAGATATTTCTTAAAACATATAAAATAGCAGACATCAAAGATTTGAAACATACAAATTCTAAATTATTATATTTACATAGAACTCTGCATCCGATGGAGACTATACTTTTAAAAATGCATAGAATGTTTACACAATTTGATCATATATCATGAAAAATGTATTTAGCAAGAAAGAAACACAATAAACTCTAAAGCAACAAAGTGTGTTCTAATGTAATAGTAAAATAAATTTTGAAATAAATAACAAAAGGATAGAAGTTTTAAAATACCACATTTTTGGAAAGGAAATGACATTACTAAATATCCCTTGGGTTTAAAAGTAAACCAGAAGAGGGTTACAAAATATTTAGAACCAAATGAAAATAAAAACAAAAATGTCACACTTTGTGAAACAATGTTAAATTAGCACTTAAAAGAAATTTTATAATTTCTAATGTATTTACAGGAAGCAAGAAAACTTCAAAATAAAACAAAATATTCAATACAAAAATCTGAAAACTGAATAGAAACACTGAATACATTGAAAACAACAAGAAGAAAGGAAATAATGAATATAAGGACAGAAACAAATAAAAACTTATCAAAAAGATTAGCCAAAAAAACCACTACTTCTTAGAAAGATTAATAAAGTAGAGCTTGAAAAAGACCAATCAAACCAAAAAACAAGCAAGTAAGATACAAATCAACAAAATATAGAACAAAAGACCCTACAGATATAGAGAGATTTGCTAACATAAAAAAGTACTTTTTAAAAAATGTTACATTAGTTAGGAAATATAGATGAAAGACATATGTTTTTCAAAAATATAAATGCTGAAATTGTAACAAGAAGGATTTCTGTAAAAAAAATCCTGCATGATTTCATGTGTAAGACGGCCTAGAACAGGTTAACTAATCTAAGTAGAAAAATAAACTAGAAAGGGATCAAAGACCTAAATGTAAAAGGTAAAACTAGAAAACTCTCAGAAAAAACTATGAGTGTCAATCTTTGCAGTCTCAGGTTAGGCAAAGCCTTTTGTGATATGATCCGAAAACCACAAACAACAAAAGAAACATAGAAACTTCTAGAAACATCAAGAGAGTGAGAAGACAAGCCCCAGAGTGCAAAGAGGTCTGTGCAGACCAGGTGTCTCATAAGTGGTGTGCATACAGAATAGATCCAGAACTCTTCCAACTCCACGATCAAAGAATTACCCTACCAGGCCAAAAGGACACCGGATGTGAAGAGGCGTTGCTCTCAGGAAGACACACGAAGGGGCCAGGTGCCAGTGAGGTCACTCAGCGTCATCAGCCATCAGGGAAATGGGAAGCAAGCCACACTCAGGCACCACCGCGCACCCACTAGCATGGCGGTCGCGACGCAGATGGGCAGTAACAAGGGCTGCTGAGGATGTGCCGAGCCCGGAACCCTCACGCACTGAAGGGAGCGTAAAGCAGCCAAGAGTGCAGGTGCTTCGTGAAACGGTCTGGCAGTTCCTCAGCATCTAACCAGCAGTGGGACCCAGCAGTTCCATTCCTAGCGGAATACATAAGAGAGGGGACGCCTATGTCCCCACAAAAACATGCACATGATGTTCATCCCAGAACTGTTCATAACAGCCAAAAAGGGCAGATGACGCAAATGGCCATCAACTGATGGACAGCTACATAAAATGTGGTCAATCCATACGATGGGGTATGATTTGGCAATAAAAGGGAATAAAGAACTGGTACACGCTACAACACGGATGAACCTTGAAAACATGGTGCTGTGTGAGAGAAGCCAGCTGCACAAGGCTATGTATTGTATGATTCCCCTTATAGGAAATGTCCAGAATGGGCAAATCCATAGAGACAAAAAGATAGCAGTTGCCTAAGGTCAGGGAGGAGGACTGGGGCGGGGCGGGGGGAGGGGGGGCGGGAGTGAGGGTCGGGGGGCGGGAAATGGGTAATAGCTACTAATGGGGACAAATACTTTTTTTTTTTTTTTTAGGTGATAAAAATGTTCTAAAATTGATTGCGGTGGTTTCACAATTCCATGAATACTAAAAAACACTAAATACACTTTAAACGGGTGAATTTTATGGTATATGAATTATAGTTCAGGAAAGCTGTTAAAATAAACGAACTGGTTCCTTTTGGAGAAAACAGGGCAGGAGAAATAGAGAGGAGAAGACATTTCTCTGGGCACAGCTTTTTGAATAGTTTTAACTTTTGGAATCATGACATTTTACATATTCAAATAATAAAATTATCAAGAATCGGGGAAAATGCTACAACAGAATGCCAACAAAGGAACCCAAGTGTCTGTCAAATGATTAGCCATCATCTGAAGGGGAGTCGGGACAAAACAAATTTAAGTAATTTTTGGAGACAGCACTTTGACTGCATACCCTCAGACTAAAGAAAAAAGCTGCAAACAGATCTGGAACTCTCCATGGGTTTGTTTCTTGTGGCCCTGTGGGTGGAGCCATTCCAAACCTGCTCTGTGTTACAGCGTGTTTGAGCCATGCGTGATGCTGTCTCTGCTGTTGTGAGCCGGGGTCGTCACCATGCAAGACGGGATGCACAGGAATGAGGCAGGCAAGGAAGTGCCGTGGGGCTGGGTTGCAGCAGAGGTAGAAGGGTGTGGAGGTTCTGATGGCCCATGAGCAATGAGCACATCTCCCACCCACATCTTAACTTCTAAATTCCATTCCTCACTAAAAAGAACCAGAATTCTCAGAGAAAGGGCTGGATCCAACCACACGGCAGAGAAGGCGTGTGTCTGCTGCATACAAAATAAGGACGTGGCCAGGTGCGTGGCTCACGCCTTCAATCCCAGCACTTTGGGAGGGCGACGCAGGCGGATCACAAGGTCAAGAGATCGAGACCATCCTGGCCAACAAAGTGAAACTCCATCTGCACTAAAAATACAAAAATTACCCAGACATGGTGGCACATGACTGTAGTCCCAGCTACTTGGAAAGCTGAGGCAGGAGAATCGCTTGAACCCAGGAGGCAGAGGTTGCAGTGAGCCGCCACTGCACTCCAGCCTGGCAACAGAGTGAGACTCTGTCACAAAAAAAAAAAAGCAAGAAAGAAAAGAAAAGAAAGAAGGACGTGCTCCATATACACCACGGAATACTATGCAGCCATAAAAAAGGATGAGTTCGTGTCCTTTGCAGGGACATGGATGAAGTTGGAAACCATCATTCTGATAAAACTATCACAAGGATAGAAAACCAAACACCGCATTGTTCTCACTCATAGGTGGGAATTGAACAATGAGAAGACTTGGACACAGAAAGGGGAACATCACACACCGGGGCGTGTCGTGGGGTGGGGGGAGGGGGAGGGATAGCATTGGGAGATATACCGAATGTAAATGACGAGTTAATGGGTGCAGCACACCAACATGGCACATGCATATGTAACAAACCTGCACATTGTGCGCATGTACCCTCGAACTTAAAGTAAAATAAAAATAATAATAATAATAAAAAGAAATGCAGACATGTAAAAAAAAAAAAGAAAAAAGAAAATAAGGATGTGCTCAAAACAAGGACTGGTACAAAGAAGGACGATTCAACAGCCTGAAGAGACCCCCACAGCAAACCTGGAACAACGGGAGCAGCAACATCACAACAACAATCAATTATAACCCACTATAAATAGAATACCGTTGCCAAACAGAGAATCCAAGAACCCACAGGGATAATAAACAAACACTGGGAAGAAAGTAGCCCTTCTTTATAGAATGCAGTAAGAAGTGACGGAGTTGGAAAATTAGCAATATTGAGCCATCACCGTGAAGGTTGACCCAACTGAGTGCAAACGTGACTTGGTGCCAGTGAGGCCAGCTTGGGGCAGGAGGCAGCTTTATGTGCAGACAGGGCGTTCTCAGCCTCAGCAGATCTCCCGCAATATACCCAAGGACGAGGAAAATCAGTGACTGTTCAGAGGAGGAACCACCTTATCAGGGACCAAAATTAACATTGCCAATCAGGGCAAGCTGACAGACGTCTCTGTGTTTGATATCTCAAGGACACCGTTTACAGAGCACTCCAGCCAGAAATATATAACTCGAATTCCATCCTGACAAAATACCAGACCAAACCAAATTGAGGGCATTCTTTAATATAACCAGCTGGTATTTGTTCAGAAATATCACTGCTGTTAAAGACAAAGACAGGCTGAAGAACTGCAGCAGGTTAAAGAAGAATAAAGAGATATGATTACTAAACAGAGCATGTGATCTGGTACTCCGTCCTGGACCAAGAAAAAAAAGGATAGGAAAGAAACCGTCAAAGTTGGAATGAAAACGGTAGATGAGATAAAAGGTACTGGCTCCATGTTACATTTCTTGAATTGATAGCTTATGTGGTTACATAAGAGAATATCATTATTCTTAGGAAATAAACATTGAATTTTTTATTTTTTTTTTAGACACAGTCTCACTCTGTCACCCAGGCTGGAATGAGATTGCGTGATTTCAGCTCACTGCAACCTCCACCTCCCGGGTTCAAGCAATTCTCCTGCCTCAGCTTCCCTAGTAGCTGGGATTACAGGTGTGCACCTGGTTAATTTTTTGTATTTTTAGTAGAGATGGGATTTCACCATGTTGGCCAGGCTGGTTTCGAACTCCTGGCATCAGGTGATCCACCCGCCTCAGCCTCCCAAAGTGCAGGGATGACAGATGTGAGCCACTGTACCCAGCCAATAAACACGAAAGTATTAAGGGGTAAGGGATATAAAGTAACGTAGGGGAAAGAAAGAAAGAGGAAGAGGCAAGGAGAGGGACAGAGACAGTGGGAAAGGGAAGAGACACTGCTATGACAAACGTGGCAAAAAGTTAAAAATAGATAAATAGGGATAAAGAGTATATGGAAGATTTGTTCTTTTTTCCCCCTCAAATTTCTGTAAGTTTGAAATTAGTTCAAAATAAGAAGCTAAAAACAAAAATAAAACGGAACAGAGCAACTTCCTTTAAACCAGGAAGCCTCCTTTTGAAGCTGCAGCATCTGAGATGCAGGCGGCGAGTCCAGCCCCTCCACTCTGTCTCCCCTCCCAGCCAAGATGATTTTTAAAAGTCCACAGTTGCAAACCGTAAGTGTCTCCTAGGGAGAGCTTTCTATCATTCACGTGGTTAACATGGTTAGCAGGTTAACACCTTCATCCTGTGTGTTTAGGAACGTCTGTGAGAAAGGGTAAAGGTGAACACGGCAGGTGGGGCGTTTCCTTCACTTTTGCGGTCAGGCCGGTGTTTTCCTTGCGTGATGGGACCCCAGGCTGGTGGCCCAGGGCTGTGCCACTCGTTGCTTCCCATGCCTGAGTGTGGATGTGGATCCTCATGCCTGCCCCTCATGGTGCCAACGGCAGGTGCCCCTATAGGCATCGGGACTGTATTTCAAGGAAAAAGGAGGCAGGAAGGGGCGGGAAGGTGTCCTCAATCCAGGCTTGCCTTCACTTGCAAAGGCAAACGCACTCAGCTGCAAGCCCTCCCCTTCTCAGTGGCCAGAACTGTGCTGTGTGCATGCCAAGGGCCAGAAGACAGACACCAGCTGGCAGAGGACTGGCTGACCAGGGACCGACGCTGGCAGAATGCAATTCCAGTCCTGCAACTAGTTCCAAATTAAAATGTAAAAAGCCACATTTAGCAAATGAGATTTTTCCTGAGCTTTATTTTTTTAAGGGCTGCGTGCTTTCTATTTGAGATAATCTGAAATTACAGAAAACACACAATGGGAATATCGCATGGTGGCCTCCACCTTTCTAAGCTTTGGCTGTTGCCACAAAACCACTCTATGGCTCTAACGTTCTGTGCTCCGTGATTGTTTTGTGTGGAAACAAAATCTCTGGGGTTGACCAGATATGCTTGGAAATTCCTTGCAACAAATGAAACAGCAGCTAAAATGCACTGTGTTCCAATTGGGATTTTGCATTTCCCATATGATTTTTGAAAAACAACACAGAAAACGTGAACGTTACAAGGACTATAAAACTTTTCTGTGTAGGCCAGGCACGGTGGCTCATGCCTGTAATTCCAGCACTTTGGGAGGCCAGTATGGGAGGACTGCCTGAGCCCAGGAGTTTGAGACCAACCTGAGCCAGACAGCAAGACCCCATTTCTACACAACAAATTTAAAAATTAGCTAGGCATGGTGACATGCGCCTGTGATCCTAGCTACTTTGGAGGCTGAGGCAAGAGGATCACTTATGCCTAAGAGTTTAAGGTTACAGTGAGCCACGATCACGCCACTGCACTCCACGCCTGGCCGATAGAGAGAACCTGTTTTAAATTAAAAAAAAAAAGTTTTTTATGTAAAGTTTTGGCAGAAACTTTTCAGATTGAGACTTGACATTTAATAACTTTCTGTAATAATGGAGGATTTTAACTTTGGTTTAATTTTTGGACTCTTTTGATGGGTTTGAGGTTGCAGGTATCAAACCCTGCAGGAATGGGCTGTGCACGGCTTCAGGCGGGCTGGAGTGCTAACTGAGGCTGCCAAGCGTGAAACAGCACAACGGTAAAAGCAAAATACATGCAGAGAGAAAAGAAATGAATTCACTCCATGGGCCTGCAGATGTGGAAAAGAAGTGTCACTAAGGCCAGGCGCCTGTGCTCTGGGGTTCCTGGCCAGGTTCCCAGAAGGAAGGGTGTGGTTTCTTTTTCCTCTTGGATGGCTGGCTGTGGGTCCTGGATACCTCGGAATCAATTCCAGACATTTGGGGTTGAGTCATCGGAAGAAAGGAAATAGAGACGTCTGAATTTTTCACATCACTATATTTTAAACATGATTAGGCAAGTATATTTTTGTTACTAAAATAGTAAATACATTTTACTAAGAGTGAAGTACATTTTGTTACTAAAAAGGAGAAAAGTTATTCAAAATGATAAATATGGAATTAATAAGCTCTCGCATTAGAAGAAAATAGGAAGAAAGTTAGCAAAGAAAGGGGTGAACTGAAAGCGTCAACATGCATTCGTGAAAGTCTGGGTGCAGTTTATTCTGATTTACTCTGAGGTGAGCTGAAATCAGGACCGCAGGGTGGGCGATGCATCTGTGACAAGGCTGGACAGACTCATGGGTGCCTGCCCCCCCTCCTCCTGCAGCCCCTCCCCCAGGGCAGGCCTCCTGTCCTGGGAGCCAGGCTGCTGGCATGTCACACAAAATCACGTGTGCTGGGTTCTGCACAGAGCAAAGCCAGGTATGCAGCACAAGGCAGGCTGTCTGGCTCTCGAAGACCCCGATAGAGAGCCCCCGCAGGCTGGGCATATTCTGACCCCAGAGGTGGCAGCTTCCTGCAGTTCCCTGATCTGTCATTCCTGTCCTGTGACTTCCAGGGAGGGGCAGCTCCTGGGAGACCCACCAGCTGACACCTGGGACTCTGCCCTTCCTTCCTAGGCTGCTGTGTGAGTGGGGCTGGGGTCTGGAGACCCTGAGGGCTGCCCCAACACCAACACCCCTGCCTGTGCTCCTCTTGTGACATGGGTGCGTCCTGTCTTTACTGCCGAAGCCACAGCAGGGGTTTAGGGAGCCCGTGCATCTGACCAGTACCTGTCTAACCCCACGCCGCCTGTGCCACCGTAATCTGACCGGTACCTGTCTAACCCCACGCAGCCTGTGCCACCGTAATCTGACCGGTACCTGTCTAACCCCACGCCGCCTGTGTCACCGTAATCTGACCGGTACCTGTCTAACCCCACGCCGCCTGTGCCACCGTAATCTGACCGGTACCTGTCTAACCCCACGCCGCCTGTGCCACCGTAATCTGACCGGTACCTGTCTAACCCCACGCTGCCTGTGCCACCGTAATCTGACCGGTACCTGTCTAACCCCACGCCGCCTGTGCCACCGTAATCTGACCGGTACCTGTCTAACCCCACGCCGCCTGTGCCACCGTAATCTGACCGGTACCTGTCTAACCCCACGCCGCCTGTGCCACCGTAATCTGACCGGTACCTGTCTAACCCCACGCCGCCTGTGCCACCGTAATCTGACCGGTACCTGTCTAACCGCACGCCGCCTGTGTCACCGTAGTCTGACCGGTACCTGTCTAACCCCACGCCGCCTGTGTCACCGTAGGACAGAGCACAAAGGAGCACCCAGGATGCACACCTGACACACTTCGCGGCCGAGCCGCAAGCCTGAGGAGCGGGAGACCCTCGCGGTTCAGCGGCGTGAGGGCAGAGCGACGGAGCCCCTCCGCTTCTGTCTGCGTGAGCACATTCGCATAGAACAAGAGTTCTGACCTGGTCAAACACTTGACACGCACATAATGGAGGAAACTTTTGGCATGCTATCAAATGCTTTCTCACATGCACACAACATCTCCTCCCCAGCATGAAGGAAAGGCAGCTGACCCTGGCCGACCCCACCCCAGGCTGGCCCCCACCAGAGGCCCGAGCGTTTCCCCTTCTGGCCACACGTTTCCAGTGGCCACCGTTCTCTACTGAGGACATCACCTCCAGCCGCTGGTCTTGCCAGGCAGCCTGTGCGAGGGTGAAACTGGCTGCCCAGCCTCCCAGCCCTGCCCTTACCGTGGTAAATTCCCCCCTCAGCAGGTGTCCCCATATCAGCCCTTGGGTCTGTCCCCTGCAGGGCCCTGCCTGGCAGCCCTGGGTACTACTGGTTCATCCACTCCCTACTGCCAAGCAGCCATCCTGTGCCAGGGACATGGGGCTTAGAATCAATCAGAGAATAAAACAGATGCAACCCTGCCCGTGTGGAGCTCACAAAATTCGGACATGGGAAGAGAACCACATTCACCGGGTGCTGATGCTGCAGTGTGACCGTGTCCCCTCCAGAATTCACATGACATTGTAATTGTCATTGCGGTGGTATTAAGAGGTGGGGCCCCCTACTCTTGCAAATGGCTTAATGCCTCATAAAAAGGCAGCGGAGAACTAGCTGAGGCCTGTTGACCTTCCATCCCCTCCACCACGTGAGGATGCAGTGTTCCCAGCAGAAACTAATCAGCCCACACCTTTATCTTGGACTTCCAGCCTCCAGAACTGTGAGAAATGATGTCCGTTCTTTTTTTTTTTTTGAGATGGAGTCTCACTGTGTCACCCAGGCTGGAGTGCAATGGCGTGATCTCGGCTCACTGCAATCTCTGCCTCCCAGGTTCAAGCAATTCTTCTACCTTAGCCTCCCAAGTAGCTGGGACCACAGGCATGCACCACCACCCCCAGCTAGTTTTGTTTTTTTAGTAGAGATGGGGTTTCACCATGTTGGCCAGGCTGGTTTCAAACTCCTGACCTCAAATGATCCACCCGCCTCGGCCTCCCAAAGTGCTGGGATTACAGGCGTGAGTCACCGTGCCTGGCCTGAATGTCTGTTCTTTATAAACTACCCAGTCTTAGGTGTTTTGTCACAGCGGCCCATACTGCCTGAACCACGACTTTCTGCGCTAAATGCCGTGTTGAAGAGCCCAGCTCTGGCGCCGGAGGCTGCGCCCAAGGCAGGCACGGCTGTTCACGAGTTGCGTCACCTTGGGCACGTCATCACCTCTCTGAGCCCCGAAGCTCCTCGACAGAAGTGGAATCAACAGTGCCCATTTCATTCAAGTTGTCCGGGCGAAGAAAATGGAAAATCATGTCCCTTAAGCGCAATACCTGGTAAAAAATCTCACACTGAACTGCGGCCATGACAACTCCAGCATCACCCAAGGAGCCTGGACACCGAGAAGGGCAGAAGCCTGTGCGGCCCAGCCCCCGCAGCGCGGCGAGGAGGCTGCACCAACCCTTGGTCTTCAGTCACTCAACCTCCCTGGCCCATTCTGTTTCCCAACTTAAGAAACAAAACAAAACATAGGTATAGAGAAGGATTTCACTATCGAAAGAGAAAGCGCACTGACAAGTGATCACACTGAAGCCAAGCTGGAGAGCCACATCCTGGCTAAACGCAGGGCCATTTTCTATCCGGGTCACCTGCCATCAGGTGGAGTTAAGGCCGATATTGCCCAATCGTCCTAGTTTTCAAGCAGTTCCAGAATTCCTGTTATGTGAACTCACCTCGTTTAACACTTGCTGTAACTCTCAATAGAGGATGTGAAGCACGCAGCACACACGTGCAGCTGAATGCTGGCCAATGTGGGCCGCTGAGTGGGCCGGGCCCAGGCTCACACCAACCTGGCACCAAGAAGTCAGAGCTCATGAATGTCGCTTGTACCATGCTCCACTATAGCTACATCCCCTCACACTGCCGGTCAGGGAGACTGAGGCCAGTGAGGACCATGGGAAAGTGCTGTGCCATCTGGAAGGTGTACGCATCATTAACATTTCACGAAGCCTTTTCCACCCCTAAACCCCCAACTTCAGGCTCTGCACTGAGGGGTCCCCGGACCAATGTGTGGGTGACACTGGACGGAGCGGGTGAGCCTGTGCTTCTCTACAGCACCTCCATCTCTATGCATCCACACACGCGTATGAAGATACAGGAGGTAAAGTGTGGACCCCTGGGAAGGTCAAAGTCCTAGTGGAGGTGAGATAAAAATTAGGCTGTCCACTTCCAACTCCAAATCGAATTCTGAACACATGATGAATTTATCATTATATTTTCTATCTCCAAGATAAAGCATTCACAGCAATATGAATAGGTTAGTTTATTTTGAGAGAGAGGAAGACATCATTTGGGTTCTGTAAACATCAGTCACTTTATTATGCCTCTGTCTGGCTGAAAAACACCAGCTCCTGCTGACTCCACAAGGGCACGGCTGCAGAGAGTGCTGCCTGCCAGGTGTGAGGTTTCCAGTTAAAAGTTTCAGCAGGGACACCATTTGCTGGATGTGTTTAAGATTAAAATTGCTTCGTAAAATGTGATAAATAGGTTACTATACACCTTGGTCAATATAGTTAAAGCACCAGCAATCAAAATACACCGCTCCGGGCCGGGTGAAGTGGCTCACGCCCGTAATCCCAGAACTTTGGGAGGCCGAGGTGGGCAGATCACTTTTAGTCAGGAGTCAGAGACCAGCCTGGCCAACATGGTGAAACCCTGTCTCTACTAAAAATACAAAAAATCAGCCAGGCATGGTAGAGGTACCTGTAATCCCAGCTACTTGAAAGGGTGAGGCAGGAGAATCCCTGGAACCCGGGAGGTGGAGGTTGCAGTGAGCCGAGATCACACCACTGGACTCCAGCCTGGGAGCCAAAGCCAGGCTCCGTCTCAAAAAAACGAAAACAAAAACTAAACAAAAACAAAACACTGTTCCGAGAGTTCCATAAAACATAAGGAACGTAAGTCACACATGATTCTCACGAGCAGCCGACGTTTTCCACGTACATTTCAAAGGTGCTTGTGATAAAAAATAAACTTTGAATTTTAATTGCACGTTTATATCAAAACACTCACACACACACACACACACACACACACAATTCTGTATGTCTGTTAACAACATTGCTAAATTGCTGTGTAACTTCTACCTGGGTATAAAACAGTAGAACAATGTACCTTGGGACTCATCATCAGGCAGCTCATTGCCAGGGGCTGCTGCAGGACCACTCTAGGGACCCCAGGACCCTGCAGTCGAGCATCTCTGAGGGGTCCAGGTCCACCCTACAGCTCAGGGAGAAAATGACATCACTACTTGTCTTGAAATCTACAGAGGAACACCAACCACAGAATTAGGGTCTAGATTGGGTGCCTGTAGGTAACTCAGTCAATTAAAAACAGCTCTGAAACCCAGACAACCTGATTATGAAATCCTTACCTTATTTTGTCAAATGAGCAACACAGTATGAATAATAACTTCTCATTTTAAAACAGGTACCATGATTTAAAAAAAAAAAAAACTTGCAAGATTTCATCTTTACCAGCCCACGCTCTGGTTGGTGGGGGTTAAACTCCAAGGCGTCTCTGCTGCTACAGGAGTCACTACCCCTCAGCGTTGTCTTTGTACCACTTGCCACCAGATGGCACTGCCGTACACTTCGGTCTAGAATTTTTTTTTTTTTTTTTTTTTGAGAGAGAGTCTTGCTCTGTCACCCAGGCTGGAGTGCTGGAGTGCAGTGGTGCGATCTCAGCTCACTGCAACCTCCGCCTCCCGGGTTCAGGCAATTCTCCTGCCTTGGCCTCCCAAATAGCTGGGATTACAGGTGTGTGCCACGACACCCGGCTAATTTTTGTAATTTTAGTAGAGATGGGGTTTCACCATCTTGACCAGGCTGGTCTCGAACTCCTGGCCTCAAGTGATCCACCTGCCTCGGCCTCCCAACGTGCTGGGATTACGTCGGGTGTGAGCCACCCCACCCAGCTTAGAATTTCATACGCTGGGAAGCTTTAATAAGGAACAAATCATGTTATTTTCTATCTTAGCCCAATTCTCTCCAACTGAAAAGAATGTGACTTCTGAATAAGACACACGGCATATGAGTGTGCAGCTGGAAAGAGTCAACGCTGACCCACCCGCCCTGTGGGAGGCACTTCACTATGAAGCCATTTCCAGCATTCAAAGCCACCCCACTCCTCAACAGGTGTGACGCCCCGATGCCTGGACACCATGGACTCCTCTCCTAGATGCTTGACACGGTCCGGCGCGGCTAAACTGACAGAGCCTGCCAGACAGTCATAAAATTATAATTTCTTAAAAATACTTTGTAGCTACTTCAAAATTAATACTAATGCGAAAGAAAGTTAGTATTTCCCTTAGAAGTAAACACAAAACATTCACTGCCTCATTAATTCAAAAGCCATCATTCGCGGGGCTTCCCAGAATCGGTGTGCCAGCTCTGCTGCCGCCCCGGAGCCCCGGCTGGAGCAGCTATGGCCTCTTCTTCCGCAGCAGCTGCCCGTTGCCTTCTGGCCTGCTCTTGGCTTCTGGCTGTGCGAAGTTCCAGTCCACCGGATTGAGAAGCTGCTGAGTCTTCTTATGGGTCCAATATGGATTAATGATTAGCGTAAGCAGAGCCAGTCCGACAAGGAACAGTGTCAAATGAGGCAGATACAGGCTGCTGACCAGGCCGTCCCAGTGCCAGAAACACACCCACCACATGTGGTAGGTTAGAACCATGCGGCAGTGAAACATGTGAATCATCAGCCACTGGTTGAGCTTCCAAAACAGAGACTCGGACCAGCCCGCCTGCATGGAGAGAAGACAAATGCACAAGTCAATGCGAAACTGCCAAAATTCATTCTTCACATCACAAAAAGGTATTTGCTACCTTACTTACCAAACAAAACAAATTCATTTCAAAGCAAAAGAATTTCCTCCCCAGGGCTCTGCTCTCATTGGGACTTCATTCTGAAAGGAGGCCACCAGCTCTGTGGGCGCACCTGGGCCAGCAGGGCTGACCCTTGCCCGCTCATGCTGTTTTCCTGCTCCTCTTGCTCTTTGGCTTCTGCTCCCTAAAGCTATGATAAATTCAACCTTTCTTTCAGTATCCCTTCAATCTTTGTTTTATCTTGAATTTTCTCATATTAAGTAAATAAACAATACTTATTTGGCAAAACCAGACACAGGTATATCAAGCTCCCATACCTAGACCCTGGGAAGTGATGAGGTCATGGGGGTAAGGCCCCATGATGAGATTAGTGTCATAAGAAGAGAAAGAGACCAGAGCCTTCCCCTCCTCCATGCTAGGACACAGCCAGAAGGTGGCCATGTAAACCAGGAAGTGGGTCTTCACCAGACATGAATCTGCTGGTGCCTTGATCTCAGACTTGCAGCCTCCAAAACTGTGAGAAAGGAATTTCTGCTATTCCAGCTGCCTAGTCTATGGCAGTCTGCTGTGGCAGCCTGAGCTGACTAATACAGTATACCTCCCCGGCAAAATATTCTAACTTGGGCCAGGCACGGTGGCTCACGCCTATAATCCCAGCACTTTGGGAGGCCGAAGTGGGTAGATCACTTGAAGTCAGAAGTTTGAGACCAGCCTGGCCAACATGGCGAAGCCCCATTTCTAATAAAAATACAAAAAAATTAGCCAGGCATGGTGGCGCACCATGTAATCCCAGCTAATTTGGGAAGCTGAGTCATGAGAATCATTTGAACCTGGGAGGCAGAGACTGCACTGAGCTGAGATCGTGCCACTGCAATCTAGTCTGGAGAAAGAGCAAGACTGTCTCAAAAAAATAAAATAAAATAAAAAATTCTAACACGTTCTTCTGGTGTTTTTGAATATTTAAAGCCCCAGGTATATTAGCTGTTATAGACAGTCCCCTACTCACAATGGTTTGACTTACAATTGTTTGATTTTATGGTGCAAAGATGATACACACTCAGTAGAAACTGTACTTCAAGTACCCACACAACCATTGTTTCAACTTTCAGTAGAGCATTCACTGAATTACATGAGCTGTTCAGCATTCTGTTGTAAAACAGGCTTTGTGCTATATGATTTTGCTCAAACGTAGGCTGATCCAAGTCTTCTGGGCATGTTAAAGGCAGGCCAGGCTATATACCATGATGTTCGGGAGGCTGCACATTTCTGACACAATATTTTTAACTTATGGTGGGCTTATTGGGATGTAACCCCATCCTGAGTCAAAGAGCATCTATTCTAAGTCTGGACTGAAAAAATTAATGTGAGGACAATTAGAAGAGAAAGGCCAGCGGAATGGAGTAACCCAGCCTGCCTCATACAACTGTCACGGGAGTCCTTCCCAGGTCTCAGAGGGGACCTCAGGGCTCTCGCATGTGCATCACGGCACCCTCATGCACACACACGCCTTCAGAGACCGCCAGTGCGGCTTTCCACAAACATACCAAGCACTTAGTTCACCCCAACCCCAGGTGCAAATGAAACACTCCCACCTGTGGTTGGGGCCACCTCAAGGTGGGCCAGGACCACATGCTTCACCGCACTCAGCATTGCTGAGGCACAGTGAACACTCAGGAAGAAGAGCAGAGGAAGCAGGATCCAAAACAAGCCTGGAGCCTCCAAACTGAATGGGACAGGGGAGAAACCCACAGACCAGAAGAACCTATGGCTGTCAGTTCCGGATGGTTAAGTGACATGGGATTGAAATGAAATGTGAAGAGTTAATACTATAACTTATTTCTTACTTGTGAAATTATAGAGTTAGGCTACAAGTTCTTGGAGGTTTTTGATATGTCCAAAGCAAAAGTCACAAATATAGCTGGTTCTCAGACCCTGGGGTGACTGCAGATCCTGGTTTGCCTGGGGCAGTCCCTGACATCCTTGTCTGGGTGGTAAACAGTATAGTCACTCTGACAACTGGCCACAACCACCAGGTCCATAAGTGGTGAAGGACAATGCTGGACTTTGGCACAGGCAAGTTTTCGATCTCACACCTCCCTCAGACCCATAGCGGCAGTACCAGGTGGGCCCACACCCAGGTGAGGCTGGACAACTGCACCTACAGCAGTGCCCAGGGCTCAGCGCCTTTATTTCAGTCAACAACGCACAGTGTATAGACAGTGGTTCCACACAAGATTATAATGGAGCTGAACAATTCCTATCATTTACTATTTTACTATACTATACTTTTTATCATTATCTTGGAGTGTACTCCTTCTCTGATGAAAATAAAGTTAACTATAAACAGCCCCAGGCAGGTCTTTCAGGAGGGTCCAGAAGAAGGCACTGTCACCATAGGAGGTAGCAGCCCCATGTCTGTTACTGCCCCTGAAGTCTCTCCAGTGGGACAAGGTGTGGAGGTGGAAGACAGTGATATGGATGATCCTGACCCTGTGCAGGGCTGGATGAATGTGTATTTGCATCTTAGATTTCAACAATTTAAAAAAAAGTTTCGAAAATTAAGAAAAGCTTACAGAATAAGGGTATAAAGAATATATATATATACACACAATGTATTTGTGTTTTAAGCTAAGTGTTATTACAAAAGAGTGGAAAAGTTTAAAAAATTAAAAATTTATAAAGTAAAAATGTTACAGTAAGTTAAGGTTACTTTATGATTAAAGAAATTTTTTTATATAAATTTAGCATTGCTTAAGTACACAGAGTTCATAAAGTCTATAGGAGAGTACAGTGACGTTCTAGGCCCTCACACTCACCACTCATTGTGACTCTCGCAGAGCAGCTTCCAGTCCTGCAAGCTCCATTCCCAGTGAACGCCCTGCACAGGTGTGCCATTTTTCATCTTTAACATGGTATTTTTACTATACCTTTCTATGTTTAGGTATGTTTAGATACACAAATATTTACAGTTGTGTTACACTTGCCTACAGTATTCAGTACAGCCATATGCTGTACAGGTATGCAGCCTGGGAACAATGGGCTTTGTCGCATAGAGCCGAGTGTGGAGTTGGCTTAGACATGTAGAAAGGTACTCTATGACGGCCACTCGATGACAAAATAGCCTAAGGACACATTTCTCAGAACACAGCCCGTCGTTAAGCAACGTATGACTGTACATGGAACGGTATCACACGCTGTGTACTCTTTTGCGTCCGGGTAACGTCTCTCACCGTGTCTGTGTAAACCATCCAGACTGCTGCCCACCCTTCTGCTGCGTGGACAAACTCAGCTCACAAGCCCTTTCCACTGATGATGGGACTTCAGTAGGACTCAGTCTGAGGCCAAATGAACAGCGTGGCTAAGACAATCCAAGTACCCCTGTTCGAGTGAACATGTGGGTGCACTGCAGTCAGGCACAGACCTATGCATGGAGCCGCAAGGACACCAGAAGTCTCACACGCTGTTTTCCTTTGCTAGTTATCAAACTGAAGACACTCAAGCATTTATCAAGTAAACAAAGAGCTGACAAAAACCAAAGGAAAGACAATGCTCCTTCTGCCACGCAATGGACTGCAGCATCGCTACACAAACGTGCGCCCCTCACAGAGTCCAGATTCCAGAACCTTCTGTCATCACGTGTGTGTGTGTACTGGAGCAAGGCCACACACACATCTGCCCGCACAGATTTCACCTTCCAGAACCTTCTATCATCATGTGTGTATATTGGAGCAGGGCCACATGCATATCCAACCCTCACAGATTTCACCTTCCAGAACCTTCTGTTATCACATGTGTGTGTACAGGAGCGGGGCCACATGCATACCCAACCCTCACAGAGTTCACCTTCCAGAACCTTCTGTCATCACATGTGTACTGGAGCATTACCACACATACAGCTGCCCCTCACAGATTCCAGCTTCCAGAACCTTCTCTGTGAACAGAAGCACAGTCACATGCAAGTATCCCCCTGACAGATTCCAGCTTCCAAAATCTTTTGTCATCATTTGTGTGCCGGGGCACTGCCACGCATGTGTGCCCCTCACAGATTCCAGCTTCCAGAATCTTCTGTCATCATGTGTGTGGAGCACCACCACCCACGTGTGCCCCTCACAGACTCAGCTTGCAGAATCTTCTATCGTGTGTGCTGGAGCACCACCACACACGTGTGCCCCTCACAGATTCAGCTTCCAGAATCTTCTGTCGTGTGTGCCGCACCACATGCATATGTGCCTCCCACAGATTCCCACTTACGGAAGACTGAGAATCGTCTTTGTTATGACCCGGCACCTGGCACAGGGCCTGCAAGAGTGCTCATTGCTCCTCAAGAGAGCGTACAGTATCAACAGGAGTGAAAAGAGTGTGTGTCTGAAGACAAAACACTGAAGAGTCGATGTTCTGAACATCAGAATCCTCTACAGTAGCTGGAAGGCCCCACACAGTGATGAACTGTACAGTACACTGTGCACTCAGCCCCAGACTCTCGCGAGCTCAGTCTTTATTCACTCACCATTCCCTCACAATTCACAAAAAGTTCTCCTCCACCATTTTCCTCACTTACTGAAAGTAGTCATCTTAAATTACCAATAGTAATATCAGAATGCAATCACTACCTTAAGTTTAGAAAACTCAAAGCTTGAGAACCGAAGAGTTCTTTGGTTTTACTAAGGCACTAAAATTTTTGTAGTCAAAGTCACCAAAGGCTTTGAGAAGAGTAGCAAAATCTACAGGAACAAAATCTGTGACATAACACATGCAAAGCTCTGGAGCCCGGCAGTTACATCTATACTTAAATATACAGTCACCCTCAGTATCCTTGGGGGACTGGTTCCTGGGCTCCCTGCAGATACCCAAAGCCACGGATGCTCAAGTCCCTTATATAAAATGGCTTTGTATGTGCATATAACCTAAGCACACTGTCCCTTACTCCTTAAATCATCTGTAGATTACTTATAATACCTAATACAATGTAAATGCTATATAAAATTGTTACATTTTATTGGTATTTATTTGTTATATTTTTTATTGTTATATTATTTTAAATTTTTCCCAAATATTTTTGATCCACAGTTGGTTGAATCCAGACACAGAACCCATGGATACAGAAGGTCGACTGTATACATACATATATATACACACACATGTATATATACAAAATATATAAAAACTGACAGCGGGTTGTGTTTTTGTTTGAGATAGGGTCTCACTCTTGCCCAGGCTGGAGTGCAGTGGCGTAATCACAGCTCACTGTAACCTTGAACTCCCAGGCGATCCTCCCACCTTAGCCTCCCAATTGGCTGGTACTACAGACGTGTGCCACTATGACCAGTTAATGTTTGTATTTTTTGTGGAGACGAGGTTTTGCCATGTTGCTGGTCTTGAGCTCCCGGGCTCAAGTGATCTGCCTGCCTTGGCCTCCCAAAGTGCTGGGATTACAGGTGTGAGCCACCGCACTTGGCCTGACAGTGCTTTTATATCACCTCATTTGTATTATGAACTAGTGAGTCTGTGGATAAATAGTAGAACCAAATCTAAGACAGAAATACGAAGAATAAGCCACTGTGCTTGACTTAGACCCCCATCCTAAATTGATGGTAATATTTTGTCTTTACATCCTTTAGTTCTGATCAAATCAGACCTTGATGGGGGAGAAATGTTGAATCCTCATGCCCTACTACTATGCAAGAATCTATCAGCTTTAAAAGAATTTCAAAGAATTTCAACATTTTAGACATAGTGTTTTCTTACTGCATTTATTAGTATTTCAACTAGAGCAAAATAGAACTATGTAGACATACTGGCCCTGAGCTATATTAATTTAGGTTATAATTTTCTCTTATTAGGGTCTGTTGGCTTTATACAGTTAACATGAGCAGGGTTAGAAGTAAATACTTAAATAACCCTTTCTCCATTCTACACAAACAGCACCCTAAAAGCTTTAGAGAATGTGCAAACTTCAAAATAAAATCTCGCTGAGTCTGTCCTCCTGGAGGCTGGGCTCCACCACCACACCAGGGGAGGGAGAACTGCTGGAGACGCTGTCCCCACACCTGGCTCCAGGAGAAGCACAGATAAAACCCTGGAGAAATCCAACACTGCTTTCCCCTGAGGACTGGAGAGACAGAAAGACTCACGTCTTTCTTGTTGTTTTTAAAGAACTTGTAATAAAAATAAAATACAAGATAACTATTAATCTATTTCTCAAAATACACTAATGACCTCAAGCACACCATCTTGTGGGATGTATTAATAATTTAGTCACTATTTACCACTTGGGACATTGATGTGGTATTGATGTTTAGGGCATCGATGTGAGTGAGCGCCTCTGCTTTCCTTTCAAGAACTTTATTTTCTGCCACAGCCGAGTGACTCCTGAAGTCCGGTGTTTCCAGGTGAGAGGAGTAGGCAATGCGGAGCACAGGCCAAGGCCTCTTCCTCCAGCACACACCTCTCCACTCCACACTGATCTCACTCCAGAGAAACCCAGGGAAGTCACAGCCCTGACCTGCATCCCAGAAGTCTGCACTCTTATGGAAATAACGCCCACAAAGAGAAAACTGGAAAACTGCAAGCTGCGTACAGGATGCTGATGGGGTCCCAGGTCACAGCATCGTTCCCAAAATGACCCACACTTAGACCAGCAGCTTCATATTCAGTCATTTGCTCGCCAAGGGAACTCAGTAGCCAGGTCACCGGAGGGGCTCTTTCAAACTATTCATGGTTCCAACCCTTCTTCCTTGGTAAGTTCTACCCAAATCACACCGGCCCCCAACCTCCTCCTGCCACCGCCCAAACCACGCACTCACCAGGATGTCTCCAGTATCGCCTGCCATAGGCTCCATCTACTTCCATGGCCACCCTGTGAGGCTCTGTACTGGCGACGACTGTGCCTCACTCACCCTCATTCACTTGCCTTAACTCCGAGGTGCTCACCTGCTCCTCCTGCAGAGGGTCCGCATCTGGGGCCATGGTTTCTCTGCACTTTCCTGTCACTGTGCTCACACACCCCATCTGGTGCCAGATGGGGCCAACCTCAGGGGACACCAGGAACACAAGTTCCTCCTTGAGTTCCCAGGTGCCAGCACAGTATCTGACACCCGGCTGGTGTCCATGGTGGTTATGCATGAACAGTCTGTACTGTTTACACTGCAGTGCACTTTTGATGGACTGATATCATCTACCCACCTCGACCCCGAAGGCAGGAGTGATTTGTTATGCTTATTTTTCCTCTCGAGGCTACCAGTCTCCTGTAGACAAGAAATGTGCAGTAACATGACCCATTTGTGTGAATGGCTGAACATTTGCAGGATCTCAAATTTCATATCAAATATCCCATAAACAATGTGATGGGTCATAAAAGATAGCAAGAATCTATGTAAAAACAATTTTAAGGCTGTGCACGGTGGCTCATGCCTGTAATCCCAGCATTTTGGGAGGCCAAGGCGGGGAGATCACCTGAGGTCAGGAGTTCAAGACCAGCCTGGCCAACACAGTGAAACTCCGTCTCTACTAAAAATACACACACACACACACACACACACACAAATTAGCTAGGCGTGGTGGTGGGCGCTGTAATCCCAGCTACTTGGGAGGCTGAGGCAAGAGAATTGCTTGAATCCGGGTGGCGGAGGTTGCAGTGAGCCAAGATCATGCCACTGCACTCCAGCCTGGGCAACAGAGCAAGATTCCGTCTCAAAAGGAAAAAAAGTTTAAAGAGTTTAACATGAAGAACATTTTGACATCAATATGACAATCAAGTGACAAATATTTTTAAAACATGTTCTTCAAAAACAGAAAGAAAGTGCTAGGCAAATAACTATGCTAGGTCCCAACACTTCTGAGCACTAGTACAACAACCTTATTCAAAAATAAAAAGCAAGCAAGGTATGTGTGTACGCACAGATATTACTTCAGTTTTTCTAAAGTATTAAAAGAGGCCAGGCACGGTGGCTCACATTTGTAATTCCAGCACTTTGGGAGGCCCAGGCAGGCGGACCACAAGGTCAGGAGTTCAAGACCAGCCTGACCAACATAGTGAAACCCCATCTCTACTAAAAAGACAAAAAAGGTAGCCAGGTGTGGTGGTGCGCACCTGTAGTCCTAGCTACTAGGGAGGCTGACGCAGGAGAATCACTTGAACCCAGGAGGCGGAGGTTGCAGTGAGCCGAAACCATGCCATTGTACTCCAGCCTGGGCGACAGAGTGAGGCTCCGTCTCAAAAAATAAATAAATAAATAAATATAGTATTAAAAGAAAGGAAAAAATTAAGTGCTTCCAGACGCTATCTACTGAGCCATAAAATCTACTGAGCTTTCTTTCCTTAAGGAAGAGAAAGCCTAAAAGACTTAAAATTAAGAAAATTGCCTCCAGCCTGGACGAGAGCCAGAATCCGTCTCAAAATAAATAAATAAATAAACAAAACCAGAATATTGCATTCAACTAAAATGAGTTTGTAACTGAATGTGTGTGCTGCAATCCAGCCTGCTGTTGAGTTTATGGCAGCGTCCAGGACATTGTAGCCAGTGATTAAATGCGTGAGGCACATGTCATCTTCTGCTGATGCATGCACTTACCTTTAAGAGCATCCAGGAAACGCAGGTAAAGGGCGTGCTCATCTCCAGGAGCAACGTGGTCATAGCTAGATAGTGGCCAGCTTGGAGATTGACCAAGCAGCCAAGAAACCCAAGAAAGGCAAAGAGATGGTGGATAACCAGAAACAAGTCAAATGTCCGGAAGATCAAGTTGGACAGGTGGACTGCAACATTTTCAAAGCAAAAGAATCCCGTTGCTGTCGTGATGTGAAACCAGCACCAGTTCTGCTGGCCACGCGCCTTGTCGGCATGCAGCACAGGGTCCCCCAGCAGAGCCCACAGGCCTGCGGCTGTGCTCTGAACACCAAAGACTGCACGCGTGGCCGCCAGGTCCCAGAAGACCTTCTCTCTGGCCACCAAAGAACGGTAAGTGGCATTCAGGGAAGAGGACAGCTGGTGGCAGACCACAAAGACGCCCAAGTAGAAGACAAAGCCAGCGACCATCAGCGTGGAGCGGATCCCCCAGGATGCATAGTCCAGGTCAAAAATGCTCTCTGATGTGCCCCCATCGCTCGCAGGATTCATTGTCCACAGCTATATTCCAAAGGAGTCCTGGGGCCAACACGGGCCGGGCCCTACACTGTGTCTTGTCTAAGGAAATGAAGTCAGTGCAGCGGTCCCTGGGATTGTCACGTATCCATCTTCAATCTAAAAGAAAGATCATTCATTTTGTGTTGACTCGATAGAAACAAGGACACATCACTACCCCAGTAACGCAAACATTAAACTACAAAATATTTAATTCTGTACCTTATTCTTAATGAACTTACAAGGGTGCATAAACATACCAAGGTAACATCCACTGACAGTATAGGAGGAAAGAAAATGAAACTAAAGCTAGAGCGGTCCAGCCACGAACAGGAGGCCGGAGCCGTGCTGGCAGGAACACACGGTCCTATGCTCGTCCTATGTGCACCCCACCAGCAAGTCTCCCGCCTTCACAGCAGTCCCAATCAGTCACACAATTCAGGCATCGCAGGATGAAACATATTTAAGTCATTACACTGGGATACACTTTGTTACAGCACTGAACTTCTGCTGTTTGATCCTAGTTAACACCCCAAGGATGTCACGAAAACCTGTGCTCCTGTTCTTCATGTTATTCCTTGGTTAAGGCCATGGAATGCCTTCTCAACAGCAGCAGGGAAGGCCTGAACTCCTCACTGTGACCTACGGCACTCTGCAGAATGTGATTATCAATTATACCTTCTCTGGTTCCACTCTCACCATCCCCTGCATCTCACTCCATGCTATAACCTTCCAGTCCTTTGAAAACATCACACTCTCCTGCACCTCTGGGTCTCTGCAGCTGCTGGGCCCTCTCCTGGAAAAGTCTTTACCTTCCCCAAGTTGGCATCATCTTACCTGTCAGGTCCTCACTTAAAGGCCATTTGCTCCAGATGCCCTCCCAGAGTAGGGGAGACCCATGGACTGGGTTAAGTACCTTTGCTACAAGCTCCTGATGCATACCCCAAACACTCATTTTTGGTGTTTGGGGTGTTAACTAGGATCAAACAGCAGAAGTTCAGTGCTGTAACAAAGTGTATCCCAGTGTAATGACTTAAATATGTTTCATCCTGCGATGCCTGAATTGTGTGACTGATTGGGACTGCTGTGAAGGCGGGAGACTTGCTGGTGGGGTGCACATAGGACAAGTGCTTACTGAATCCTCACCTCCACTGGACAGCAAGCTCTGTGAGGGCACAGACCACACCTGCCTTCCATCACAGCATCTCCTCTGCCTGATGCAGCACTGGGTCCACAGTGGGCCCTCAAGAAACATTTATGGAACACATGAACAGATGCTGAATCATGCTGAAAGGGTCCACTTTACCTAAGCCTGAACCTGTCTGCAAAGCTACAAACACCAGAGTCTCAAGTTCTTGAAAAACTGGAAGGGACGTGTGATTGATTCCAGCCTTTCCTTTTACACGGCAGGAAACCCAGGCACACAACGATGACATAGGAACGGCTACCGACAAAGACTCAGGTCCCCGCCTGGTCCCCCCTCACCCAGTGTGCAGGGACTTGTCCAGGTAATGGAATTTCTGCAGGGAGTGGGGACTCTTGTCACTCACACCCAGCGAACAGACAGCAGGGCTGGGAACACCACACTCCCCACGCAGCTGGACCCTCTGCTCTCCGGAAGAGACCCCAGAATTGACTCAATTGTGAGACAGCAGGACTAGAGCCAGAAGCATAGGAGGAGCCATTCACTGTGGCCATTCAGCAAAAACTTGCCAATCATTATTCAGGCAAAAAGGTCGCTGTGACCACACCCCAAGGACATGGAAAACACTAGCTCACACAAGCATGCAAAGAATGTGAGTCCTGGGACCTGATGCAAATGACAAGGGAGCACTGATCACTCCTAACCTCTTGCTTTGATAATGGTCTATAATCAAAGGCAAAATAGTACAAGAGTTTGTCTGTTTCTCCATTAACACTCCAGCTTTAACACAGACTAGCTCTGTTTGAACACAAATCTGATGTGGGGAAAGACAGCACTGGTACTCATGTTTCTCCCTAGAGAAACGGCTCCCGTGTCATGCTGCCCCTGGTGCGTGAGTTCAGGGCACACAGGCGTGCTCTCTGATAGATGCTATGGATGACAACTGAGGGGCTGCCATGCCCATGTGTGCCCTCGTGACCCACACTTCTGGTCATGCTATATATCAAGACTCCAGTGTACTTACACATCTCCAAACACATTTCTGTTAACCTGTTGACAAATCAGGTTGAACATGGTATTAAGGGGCTGGCAAGAGCACTCGGCTCTGGTATTCAGTGTGCAGCAAGGCATCGTTGAACCCCTATGCACTTCACAGGAGCAGATCAACTTCAAGTGCAGCCTAATGCCTGGAGGGGAGACCGCTTACCAGCATTAAAGAAAAGCAGGCTGGGTGGAAAGGACAGGTATCAGGCAAGGAATAGCATCCATTACAAGGGTTAACGTGAACAACACTGTTAAAGGTTAAAATATGGACCCCTCGTAAAACTTCTCCCTGTACTTTTCCACGAGTAGGTCATCAGCTCTGACTTATAGGTCCCATTTTGCCACAGTTGCATCAATGTCCGCTTGGCCAAGACCACTAACTTCTGTAGGACCTCTGCCTTGAGACGAGAGAAACCCCGACTCCAGAAGGCTCTGCCCAGATCAATGACTCAAATCCACCTCAGTGGAAGTGGTGAGCCCAAGTGATGCTTCAGGAGGTCTTTGGTTTGGTCAAGGTGAGAGGGACTCCAGGACATGAGAACCAAAAACCAAGAAGAGCGGCTGGCTTAGTGGGCTCTGATCTTGATTTCACTATTTAGGAGCTAAGAAACCAAGTTTCAGGCTGGGTGTGGTGGCTCACACCTGTAATCCCAGCACTTTGGGAAGCCAAGGTGGGTGAATCACTTGAGGTCAGGAGTTCAAGACCAACCTGGCCAACACGGCAAAACCCTGCCTCTACTAAAAATACAAAAATCAGCCAGGCGTGGTGGTGCGCACCTGTAATTTGAGCTACTCAGGAGGCTGAGGCAGGAGAATTTCTGGAACCCAGGAGGGTGGAGGTTGCAGTGAGCCGAGATCACACAACTGCACTTCAACCTGGGCAACAGAGCAAAACTCCATCTCAAAAAAAAAAAGAAAGAAAGAAAACAAGTTTCTTTCCTAACCACCCTGGACCCCAGAATCTGACTACAGGAAAAAGAAATACACAGAGCAGGCCGAGTGCAGTGGCGCACGCCTGTAATCCCAGCACTTTGGGATGCCAAGGCAGGTGCATCACAAGGTCAGAAGTTCGAGACCAGCCTGGCCAACATGGTCAAACCTCGACTCTATTAGAGATACAAAAAATTAGCTGGGCGTGGTGGTACATGCCTGTGATCCCAGCTACTTGGGAGGCTGAGGCAGGAGAATCGCTTGAACCCGGGAGGTGGAGGTGGCAGTGAGCTGAGATTGCGCCACTGCACTCCAGCCTGGGTGACAAGATGAGACCCCGTCTCAAAAAAAAAAAAAAAAAAAAAAAAGAAAGAAACATACAGAGCAGCGGGAAATGAAGCACCTACTACAAGCCAGATGTTCAACTAGTTTGTGTGATCTTCACCATAAGAGCAAATAGCTACCAGGTCTTCAAGCTTTCTAGATATCTTTTTGGAGAGATTACCATATCTACAGAAAAGTGGCAGATAGGTGAAAGACATGGAAACAGAAACAGGTAAGCCACAGCTGAGTGGGCAAACCCTCCTGGCAGTCAGAGAACAGGTGCCAATTAGGGATGCAGAAACAGCAGATTATAAAGACCAGAATGCTTACTTCCCCTTCCAGTCCTGTAGTGAATCCCCCATTCTGATTCTTTGCTCAAACCTCCTGACTTTCTGGGTAAGCTGGTGCTGTTCTAGTCTAACTCGTTACTGTGGGTCTCTGAGTTTAGTTAATGCCAACCAGCATCCTCCAGCCAGGAGTTCACAAAGGAGGTGAACTCCTCAGCTCTCTCAGCCATGAGGGTAGAAGGCCAGTCCCAGAGGCAGGATCCAGCCCAAGCGCCCAGTCTTCCTGGAGTCCTGCAGAGCTCTGCTGTCCTTTCGTGGCATCAGCGTTGTACTGAGAACAGCTGTGGTTCACCCCAAGTCACAAGGTGGGCACCCACAGAAGTGTGGCTAGGCCTTGTTCTGTCAGGCAGCACAGAAGGGGTATGGGAAGAGCTCAGCTTCTCCTTTTGCTTCTATTTCTGCTCCTTGACCCAACCACACCCTCTCACTCTTGATACGCAAAATGGGACACAGGGGTTCCCACTGTTCCCTTGCTGTGCACCATAAGGCTCAGGCCACATGAAGGAGTCCTTAAGTGTAATGCACAGCTGGAAGTCACTGTTCCTTCCATGGGTAAAACTGGAGGCCGAATCGGCCGGGCAGGGTGGCTCACACCTGTAATCCCAGCACTTTGGGAGCCCAAGGTGGGAGGATCACGAGGTCAGGAGATCGAGACCATCCTGGCTAACATGGTGAAACCTTGTCTCTACTAAAATACAAAAAAAAAATAGCCAGGCGTGATGGCGAGCGCCTGTAGTCCCAGCTACTCGGGAGGCTGAGGCAGGAGAATGGCGGGAACCTGGAAGGCGGAACGTGCAGTGAGCTGAGATAGCGCCACTGCACTCCAGCCTGGGTGACAGAGTGAGGCTCCGTCTCAAAAAAAAAAAAAAAAACAAAAAACTGGAGGCCGAACCTAATGGACTCATCTGGTTCTTTCATTCTGGAAGGCTTCCAAGCCCTTCCACACCAGCCCCTTTCCTCTCTGCAGTAGAGGAAGTGGAGCCGGAGAATAAACAACTCCTGGAAGGCCACCATCTCTTGACGCTGCAGATCTTCATTTTCTTTGGAGAAAATGTATACAAAAAGCTTGTCTTATAAGATTCTGTGGTTTCAGCTCTTCTATTGCACTGGGCCATGAAGTTTTTTAAAAATCTGAATGCAAACACATCAGTAAGAGTGTTAGCTCTGTTGCTGCAGTGTGACCAGGAACCAGGCTCAGTGGCCACTGGAACCCTTCGACTCTGTCATGCATCTATGCGCTCCTCCGGTTTATGGGGGCTAAACTGCTATGGATACCAGCATTTTTGTTTTTCATTGAGATAATTTATCCAAACTTGGAAGTGACGTCAAAAGGGAAAAAAAAGGTTGCATGCTTTTTTCCCTGCTAACGCAAGTTCAGTGTTTTACAACCCCAACAATCACTTGACTTTCTAGGAGAAATAACTAAACTATTTACCACTGATTGTGGGTCACGCATTTTACAATCTGCAAAGCTAATTCTCCTTTCCATCAAGAAGAAAAGACAATCCCAAAGGCTGTGGTTTCAATGCACACAGGATATTCACCAATCTTATTATCTAATCTGGCAATCTTCTCTCAGCATTCCTGTTACCCACTCACTAAGAAAATCCTAGTTTTGTGTATTCTCTTTTGAACTGACATTCCTATCCTGCTGTATACTGCATTAATGACTGAAATATAACCTGACAAGAGCTATTTACATGAGAATTATACTTCTAACATTTTGAAAATTATACATTGATGGGTTGTAAAAATGTTTTCCAAAATCAACAGAAATACATGTTTAATACACAAAATTCAGAAAATATAAACAAGCATAAAAATACAAAAATAAAAATTTACAATCCTCTTACACAGCTCCAAGCACCATCACTATTTTTTGGTGCCTGCTGGGTCAATTGTTTTTCTAGATATAAACTCTTCTTTTTACATAAAAGGGGATAACAGTATACAAGCTGCTCCCCGGCCTGCTTCTCTTCTCTCAGCAACAGCTAATCCTCCTCTGCAACACGGTTGCAGGGACTCCACCATTTACCTACCCGGTGTCCTACCAGGCTTTTGCCCAGTTCCTCGTTATCAGAAGACATTGTGTATTGAACATCTCTGAGGCCACCTAGAGAACCTGTGCTCTTTGTATGGAAACTGGATGCTCAGGAAGAACTTCCTTAACAACCACAGCCTCCATGACGGCCAATCTGAAAGTGAGGCACAGAAGTGTTCAAGCTCAGTGGGGAGCTGTGGCCATCTCATATTCCCTCAATCACTCACACTTCCTGCACCATTGCTCTTTCCTCTCACAACCTTCCTGAAAAGTTGTATGTAAATAAAAATCAAAATACGGGAGTGAGGTAAGCAGAAGCTGGATAGTTACAGATTTCACACAGAGGGTAAACTGAAACAGGAGTCAGAAGCAGCCGCCTCGCGCCAGTCTTTCAGAGAAGAGTCACTTACAGCAGAATCTACACAGGCTGGGGAGCCCCTGGCTCCCCTCCCTACTGTCCACACCCAACCCCAACCTAGAGCAGCTGGCTATAGGGCCCAGAGCCCAGGCGGGTCCCACCTCCTGCTGACCTGACCCAGCGCCCGCTCTCTCCCCCGCACACTTTGGTGACCTTACCCAGCGTCCCTCCCCGCTCCTACAGGTTCTGACTGACCCAGCGTCCCTCCGCCTCCCACACCATGTTGAGCTGCACCTTGTCCCCTTCCGCCCCAGCTAACTCGGTGACCAGTGGAGGCCACACCCACGTGACACCTGCTGTCCTTGACAGCAGCTCCGACGGCACCTCTGTGGCTCTGCAGGAGCCGCCTCCCCGCCTCGTGGGCACACAGGTGAGCTGACCGTACTTGCCCAGCCGGTCTGAGGGAAGCGAGGTCAGGGGCGACGGCGCCGCCTCCGCCTCCGCCTGTCCCCTCCCTCCGTCCGGCATCCGCGCCGCTCAAGGACTCCAAAGTCAGCGTCGCGGTGAGGAGCCCCCCACGCCCAACCCGCGCAGGCAGGACCCCGGGCTGCGGGGCTCGAAAGTCCCCCACAAGCTGCTGTCCGGGAACCGCACGGCCCGGGGTGCCGCACGCCCACCGGAAGGCAGGGCTGGGACCGCGGACGCCAGGAGCCACCCCGGCCCCTCACCCGGGCTCCCCCTCACGTGGGCTCCCGCGCGCCCATCTGGGTTCCCCCTCAGCTGAGTTCCCGGCCCCTCACCTGGGATCCCCGGTCCCCTCACCCGGGCTTCCCAGCCCCCTCGCCTGGGCTCCACGCGCGCTCACCTGGGCTGCCCCTCACCTGGGTTCCCGGCCCCTAACCCGGGCACCCCGCGCGCTCACCTGGGCTGCCCCTCACCTGGGTTCCCGGCCCTCACCCGGGCTCCCTGAGCGCTCACCTGGGCTGCCACTCAGCCGGGCTCCCTGCGCTTGGCGCCGCCCCGCCCCTGCAGGACTCCCGGCAGTCACTGACCTCATTGCCGCCCAGTCACGACTGGCCGGCCTCAAACACCGCCCGCGCACGCGCGTTCGCACGCGCGTGCGCACGCGTTCTGCCCCCCTGGGGGCGTCGCTACGAGAGGCCCCGCCTAGGCGCTACGACGGCGGCGGGCGCGGGAGGGGCGGGGCGGCGGGCGCGGGAGGGGCGCGGCGGGGGGCGGGGCGCGGCGCGGGGGGCGGGGCGCGGCGGGGGGCGGGGCGCGGCGGGGGGCGGGGCGCGGCGGGGGGCGGGGCGCGGCGGGGGGCGGGGCGCGGCGGGGGGCGGGGCGCGGCGGGGGGCGGGGCGCGGCGGGGGGCGGGGCGCGGCGGGGGGCGGGGCGCGGCGGGGGGCGGGGCGCGGCGGGGGGCGGGGCGCGGCGGGGGGCGGGGCGCGGCGGGGGGCGGGGCGCGGCGCGGCGGGCGCTGTGGGGCGGCGGGGTGGACGCGCTGAACCACGGCCGGCGGGAGGGGCGGGGCCGGGCTGAACCATGGCGGGCGGCGGCATGGGGGCGGTGGGGCTCCGCGGGCAGCCTGGTTGCGCTGCACCCGGACGGGGCCGAGGGGACCTGAAAGCTGCGGCAGAGCCTGACCGCGCCGTTCTCCAGAAGAGCCCCGGCCGCGGCTGAGTCGCGCTCCGGGTGTGGACGGAGCCGGAGCCTCCCCGGGGCTCGGTGAGGACACAGGGCCCAAGCCCCGGACCTTCAAGTCTTGACCGAGCGCATCCCCGGCCCTTCTGCGCCCACACCTGAGTTTTTGTCTGTAGGAGTTTCCGCAGTTTGCTAAGGTTGTTATTCGAGTTACTTATGTTTCTTCTCTCTAAGGTTGTTATTCGAGTTACTTATGTTTCTTCTGTCTAATGTGTTTTGTTCCCTCTTTAGAATCGACATCTAGAGGAGTACTCACCACTTAATTGATGATCAATACACGTTCCTTGAAAGAACCGATAGCATGCGATCGATACAGAGCATCTGCACTGGGATTGTCCGCCCCGCCTGTCAGGGAGGCCTCGGGGGCTAATGGAGCTGAGGGTATAGTCGGCCTTGGACCCTCGCTTTTTTCCTTTCCTGTACTATGAAGATAACTGCCTTATCTCCCCCTCAGGACTGTTTTGGGGATTAAATAGGACGTTTAAATTACCAACGCTCTTTGAAATAAACATTTCAAAATTATTATAACCCTTTAGTACATGTGGGAAAACGTTGACATTCATGTTCAAGTTTATTTTTCTGCTGGCTCATTTAGGTTTGTTGAAGCCTTGAGTCCCTAGGATTGTCTAAGAACATGGGTAAATGTGTGTGGAGGCCTCCCTGGAGGCCAGAGAACTGCCAGCAGCCTTCATGATGTTAGGGGAACAGGAACCTAGGAGAGCCAGGGTGACATCGTTTTAAAATCAACAACCCATCTTGGCGGGCGCGGTGGCTCAAGCCTGTAATCCCAGCAGTTTGGGAGAAAAAAATTAGCCGGGTGTGGTGGTGGGCACCTGTAATCTCAGCTACTCAGGAGGCTGAAGCAGAATTGCTTGAACCCAGGAGGCAGAGGTTGCAGTGAGCTGAGATCACGCCATGGCACTCTAGCCTGGGCAACAAGAATGAAACTCTGTCTCAAAAAAATAAAAATAAAATAAAATAAACTCCATCTTAAAACCAGTGAAACCACCATTGCAAAATTATAACTGAGACAGTGAGAGATCTGACCTAACCAACTCCATCCTACTTTTAACCTCCAAACTGTCCTTGTTCATTCCTGGGTGTAGGCCAAACTAACTTTGGAAGAAACTTAGTTTATGGTTTCCCGAAACAAATCCTTTTCTTGTCTGGAGACTAGACTGCCTTTGTAGGACTAACAAATTAGCCACAAGATTAGAAATTATGGTTTAGAATTCATGCAGCTGGAGATTACAAGATTCTGACCCTCCCTAAATTGCTCCTGGGGATAACATCACTATTGAAAAACCTAACAACAGTGCTTGAGATATTTTGCAGACCTTGCACTTGCTGAATTAGCTGGGACCATCCAGATGGATAAACTGGCTCATCTGATCTTGTGGCCCGCACTCAGCAACCGGCTCAGGCCAAGAGGACAGCTTTGATCCATACGATTTCATCTCTGATCTGACCCCTCAGTGCTCCCAGCTTACTGGCCCCCTACCTACCAAATTATCCTTAAAAACTCTGAACTCCAGGGCTGGGCACGGTGGCTCACACCTGTAATCCCAGGACTCTGGGAGGCCGAGGCAGGCGGATCACTTGAGGTCAGAAGTTCAAGACCAGCCTGGCCAACATGGCAAAACCCCGTCTCTACTAAAAATACAAAAATTAGCCAGGCGTGGTGGTGCACGCCTGTAATGCCAACTACTTGGGAGCCTGAGGCAGGAGAATTGCTTGAACCCTGAAGGCGGAGGTTGCAGTGTGCTGAAATCGCACCACTGCACTCCAGCCTGGGCAACAGAGCAAGACTCCATCTCAAAAACAACAGCAAAAACTCTGAACTCCGAATTCTTGGGGAAATTGATTTGAGTAATAATAAAACTCTGGTCTCCCGCACAGCCAGCTCTGTGTGGATTATTCTTTCTCTATGCAGTTCACCTGTTTGGATAAATCAGCTCTGTGTAGGCAACATGAACCTGATTGGCAGTTACAGTAGCCTGTAATCCCAGCTACGTGGGAGGCTGAGGCAGGAGAATTGCCTGAACCTGGGAGGCGGAGGTTGCAGTGAGCCGAGATCATGCCACTGCACTCCAGCCTGGGCAACAGAGCAAGACTCCATCTCAAAAAAAAAAAAAAAAAAAAAAAAAGATGGCTATAGTCATGCTTAGATGTAGTTACGCACTGAAATGCCAAGGATAACGTTATTTACATCCACCAAGTACTAGATCTTGTCACACTGCCAGCCCACCTGCACTTACACGTAGCTTGGCTTTTACATTGATACAAGATGCCTTTGAAACAAAGATGGCACATTCTTCTTCCTGCTTTCCGCGGGCTCCCCACTCTGTATCAGAGCAGCTGTCTCTCACTGCACTCTGCGACTGCCTTGAGTTCCTCCCTGCGCAAGATCCGAGAACTCTCTCTTAGGGTCTGGACTGGACCCCTTTCTCCATCAGCACTGGGTTCCTTAGATTCCTACTAACAGCATGCTGAGGCCTGTCTTAACAAAGAATGAAGTGAGGCTTAGAAAGATGGAACCATAACTTGCTCAGTCACGTGGCTAGTAAGCTCTTCAGCTTGAATTTAAACATTCCAGGACTGTGTCTTTCCACTCGGCCATCTTTAAAGCAGAGTGATAAAATAGTTTTGTTTTCTAAAAAACCATCACAGGCATAACTGATCACAGGTATAACCAGTATCCATGCGGGGTGTGGAACACTGAATGAAACCCGGGCGGATTCCCAGCTTGCTCCGTCTCAGCTTGGGCACTGCTGTTTACAGCCTGTGTACTCCCCTCCCGCCCTGCCACCCACAAGTGTCTCACCTCCTTCCTCGACAGATCGAATGACACAACAAACATTTATCTTGGGTGCACAGCGTGTCAGGCGTCAGGCTAAGCACTTTGATAAACTGGTTCTTTCAAACATCACAGGTGTCTGACGCAGGCACCATTATCCACGTCATAGAAAAAAAACAGTGTTCAGTGAGCCTGAGGTTAGCAATGTGTGCACCTCCACACACTGCTAAATGACAAAGCTGAATTTTGAAGTACGATGCCATGAGGTGTCTGGAGTAGACAACCAAAATGACTTAATTGAGGTGTCAGGGGACTGTCTTACTTTCTGGTCACACAAGCAATATACGCTCATTGTGAGGTTTGGTTGTTCCATTACAAAAAAGACTGTTTTAAAAGCCATTAGCGGAGGGATGGGAGGAGTTCTCTTCTGCCTGTTTCTTCCTCCTAAACAGCAAAATGACGGTGTCCTCAAAGGGATGTATAATGAGCGAGAGGCGAAAAAGAACGTCTGTGATTTTAAATCCAGTGTCCTTCACCAGTGAGCAATAGTAGTTCTGTGAGTGGGAGAGCAGGACCGCGGTGCTTGCAAACAACACTTTAAAACACTGGAACCCAAGTTCAGGATCTGCTGACAGCACATCTGCAGGAAGCATGAGGGTCTCTGGACTCCCGCAGATCAGCTGCTCAGCTTCTCAGCCTCAATGTGGCAAAGACTCTACCTGACCTAACTCCAGGCAGGGTCCTCGAAGCCCTCAAGGCTCTGACCTGGACCCCTGTCCCCTTTCGTCCAAAAGAATCCTGCTGGGTCAATGCAGTGACAGTTCCCCGCCCCTGATATCATACTCCTCATCCCTCACCCTCGGTATCTTATCACCTGGCCTGCCTGTGGCACGAATCCTACCAAGTGGTTCTAGCAAGAACCCCCCTGGCCTGATGTAGCCTCTTCATAGTTTTCCGTCCGTTCTCACCCTCTCCGTGGCTGTACATTCCCGTTTTTCTTCTTACACTCAGAGTTGAGCCTAGTCCCACTGCAGTGGCCCCTGCACCTATCGCGATTCCTTTGAGACTGTAAAACAAAAATAAAATTCTAGTCCCCCGCCAACCCCGTTAGCCACGAGCTTTCCAAAGTAAACCTTAGAGACTAGTTCAGACCGTGATGGGAAGTGGGGGTGGGACAGGCTCCTTATACCCGCCTTCCGTTGAAATCCAGGCACAGCTGACCTGCATTAACGTCAAAGCAGAGATCTTAAGGTTGACAAAACAGACTCTGTAGCAATAAGATACTACATTCCAACCTGACTCTAGTATAGCATCACATGATAGAGAGCAGGCCCTGGAAGAAATCAAGCATTTTACCCCAGAATATATTTCTTTGACATATTTTGAAGGGGCCCCACACGGCTGTCTCTTGAGGGGAAAATCCACATCCTGCCAGAATCCCCTTCCCTTTCCAGGTCTTTTCCCTGATCTAGGAGAGATTTAACTAAGAGTCTGGCACCTCTTTTAGGTCCAATAAGAGCTCTGAAGATAAAAAACCTTGGTCTCCACAACCTTTATCGTAACCCAGACAATCCTTTCTATTCATTCCAGGTCTCTACAATAATAACTTAACTCTTTCAATTAATTGCCCATCAGAAAATCGTTGAATCCATCTGTGACCTGGACACCTTCCACCTGCATCCATGGAGTTGTGTCACCTTTCTGGACCAAACCACTGGACACCTTACATGTATCGATTGGCAACATGTACACCTCCACACACTGCTAAATGACAAAGCCGAATTTTGAAATACGATACTGTGAGGTGTTTGGAGAAGAGAACTGAAATGACGTCATGGAGGTGGCAGGGGATCGTCTTGCCCTTTTCTTATTTTCTGCCTGTAACTTCTGTCCCCCTAAAATGCATAAAATCCAGCTAGAACCCAACCACCTTATGCAGCAGTTCTTAGGACCTCATGGGGCTGTGTCATCAATCAAAGTCCTCATATTTGGCTCAGAATAAATCTCATCAACTAATTTACAAATTTGACTCTTTGTGTTGACAAGTCTGTCTTACCGTTCTTTAATAAGGGCCGTGTATAATGTTTTCTTTAGCAAGTGTGGCAAAATTAAACCTTAGAAATAAAGAGAAAAAGAACTCATTATAGAAAACTGTCTTTCTGCTGATGCGGGCATTCACTGTGTCCATTTCTTTTTCCAAAAAGTGTATCTTTCTTAAAAACTGAAAAATATTGAGCCACAAAACACAGTGCCGATGGCTTGCATGCGGGACACTCGGGATATCGTACTAAAGGGCTCTGATGCTGTCTTGGTGATCTCTATGCTGGGTGTTACTTCTGCTGGCTGTGTGACCTTGGAGGGGTTGCTTAACCTCTCTGAGCCACAAGTGTAAAAGGATGAGATTGGTCCCTAAAGTCTCCTCCAACATGAAAGCTAGACGATCCTGAATCTTCTGCTATTTGAGGATCAGACAAACAACATTTGGCAGGGTTCTTCCTGTTGAAAATGATAACCCCGAGATAATAGCCGTAATTATCAGTACCCAAAGAAGCCTTAAATCCCCATTGGACGAAGCCATTGGCATAACAACCAGCCTTTAAAAATGCCCATAACAACCAGCCTTTAAAAAGTGCCCAAGCATGGTGGCTCGTGCCTATAATCCCAGCACTCTGGGAGGCCGAGGCGGGTGGATCTCCTGAGGTCAGGAGTTCGTGACCAGGCTAGTGAAACCTTGTCTCTACTAAAAATACAAAAATTAGCTGGGTGTCGTGGCACATGCCTGTAATTCCAGCAATTTGGGAGGCTGAGGCAGGAGAATTACATGAACCTGGGAGGCAGAGGTTGCAGTGAACTGAGACTGTGCCACTGCACTCCAGCCTAGACTACAGAGCAAGACTCCATCTCAAAAAACGAAACAAAACCAAAAAAAGTGCCTTGACAAGATCATGTTGATTCTAGGGCAACAAAGATAGCTACTGTGGGGCCACCATAGCACACTGTCCTCTACGCCCCCTCCCGTGGGGACATTTGGCAGTGTCTGGAGACGTTTTTGGGTTGTCATGACCTTGGTTGAGAAGCAGGTTGCTGCTGCTGACCTTCAGAGGGGAGAAGCTACCAGGCTTCCGACAATGCCCAGGGCAGCCCCACGGCAATGGCCCAGCCCCAACATCAATGGTGGTGAGCTTGAAAAATGTATATCCTGGAAGAGGACACACCTCCGCTTAAAAACTAAAACTGTAGAGAGAGGGACGCTGGCCTCGAAGTGGACTTTCCGCTGCCCCAAATAGGCCTGCTCTCCAGCTTCATCTCTTGGAATGATATCAAATGGCACTTGGGTGACCTAAAGGACTTTAGTGCAGCTTTAAGAAATGCTTAATTCAGGCCAGGCATGGTGGCTCATGCCTGTAATCCCAGCACTTTGGGATGCCGAGGTGGGTGGGTCACTTGAGGTCAGGAGATCTAGACCAGCCTGACCAACATGGTCAAACCCCGTCTCTACTAAAAATACAAAAATTAACCAGGTGTGGTGGTGGTTGCCTGTAATCCTAGCTACTTGGGAGGCTGAGGCAGGAGAATTGCTTGAACCCGGGAGGCAGAGGTTGCAGTGAGCAGAGATCATGCCATTGCACTCCAGCCTGGGCAACAAGAACAAAACTCTGTCTCAAAAAAAAAAAAAAAAAAAGGAATGCTTAATTCATACCTAGAGAGAGGTATAATCACTTTGATTTATTTTTCATCCTGTTACTATTTTAGGAACAAATTTATAGACTCAAACCTAGCCTCCCCTCTCCCCCAAACATACAGCATAATATGGTATAAATCAAATATACAGATGTATAAAAGAAATTTAAATTTAGTGAAATTTCTTTTTTTTTTTTTGAGATGGATTCTCACTCTGTCACCCAAGCTGGAGTGAAATGGTGCGGTCTCGGCTCACTGCAACCTCTGCCTCCTGAGTTCAAGCAATTCTCCTGCCTCAGCCTCCTGAGTAGCTGGGACTACAGGTACATACCACTACACCCGGCTAATTTTTGTATTTTTTTAGTACAGACGGGGTTTTACTATGTTGGCCAGGCTGGTCTTGAACTCCTGACCTCATGATCCGCCTGCCTCAGCCTCTCAAAGTGCTAGGATTACAGGCGTGAGCCACAGCGCCTGGCTGAAATTTAGTGAAATTTTGTGTATTTAAAATGTCAGGTAGAATGTTACAAAGTAGGCAGATCCAGAAAGCAGCACAGGGAAGTGGTGTATTTGTTAAACACCAAACAATGAAAACTTACCTAAGAGTTTTCTTTACAAATCTTCTTCCCACACAGCAGCATTGAGTTTAGCTTCACAGACAAGGATGTGAAACTTGGGATCAGCTGGTCAGAAACCAAGAACAGTACTTAGGAAATAAAATTCCAATTCACATTTTCCCCCTCTCTTATGAAATAACGAGACCCACACGGTCGTGATGGGATGAGACATGCAATGTCCTCCGTCTCATAGGGAATCCGCATTTCACATCAACTCGTGAGTCTCCTGCCTGGGACAAGCGGAGCTGACTCATTCTGAAGATGACTCTGCAAGCATGGAGTTCATTCCAGAGGAGGTTAGAATCACTCAGCATGAAGAGAGGGTGTAACAGGATGTTGTCTCTGCTGAGGAAGTGGGGCTGCCACCCGATGGATTGGATGGATTGTCGGTCATCCCCGCAGGAGAGGCTGGGCCAGGTTGTGGTGCGTCCAACCCCCAGCCCTCTGGGCAGACCGGTTGTGATCTAAGTCATTTCAAGGTAAAGAGCAGCTGATATGTCAGGACCTGCGACACGGTGTTCAGAGAACATGTAACACAAGCCAGCTGTCTCTGAAGGGGTAGAACGGGGGGAGGCACTTGTATCTTGTGGGCAGAGGCTTCTTGCCAGACCACAAAGGTGGGGAGGGGTCTGTGTGGGGCCACTGAGGGGCTTGGAGACTACAGCTCCATGCCAGTGAGAGAAAACAGGATGGGAAGAGCGAGGGGAGTCGGGTGGGGATCCAATCTCTGACTCCATGGAGGACTTTGTAAGGTTTGGACCCAGAGTAAAGGAAAGTTTAATGCATGACATAGACTAACCTCTCTGTTAGTTAGACTAACCCATCTGTTAGTCTATGTCAGGTTGTGTCTATCAAGACCCGTGTCATTTCACCAACTTCTCCCTTTCCCAGAAGGGTCACTTCTTTTTCACTTGCTGGGAAAGGGAGAAGTTCATGGAATGACGAACGTCTTGATTTCATGGAATGACGAAGGTCTTGATAGACTCAACCTGAAGTGGCCCTTAGAAGCCAGCAGATCTGGCAGCCCCAGCAGATCTCATTGGCTCGGAGGTCTGTAGGGAAGAGGATATCACAAGACCAGCAGCACTGTCACGGAAGGGGTTCTGGAGCTTTGCAGCAAGGCTCCTTCTCCTTCAGTGGCTGATCTCTTTTGAAGAAAGAACTTCCGGCCTGCTTCTGGGCAGGCAGAGATGGCCTGTTTGACCCCAGGGCACCAGGTGAGCAGCTGAACCCAGACATGCGCTGTGAACTATCCACTGAGCCACCAAGCCTTCCCCAGCTCATTGCATCCTCAGAGCAGGCATGGTGTTGGGATGTCTACAGACGGCTTGCCCATAGTCCCTGCTCTCCACTTTCACCCAGCCTTCCACCAAGTTCCCTCTTGGGTGCTTTCCTATGAGTAGTTGTCTGAGGATGAAAAATGTGTGTTCGACAGCAGCTTTAGATGCTGAAGTGTTTTGGAGAAGAAGTATATCACTGCTATACTCTCAGAAAGATCTCAAGTTCTGAAAATATCCGTTATTTCCTGGGAATGCTTATAAGAACGTCCTCACTACAAAAGAGAATCAGGCTGATAGACATGTTGAGACCAAATAAAGATATTCAAAACAAATAAAGATAGTCAAAGACAAATAAAGAGACCCAGTGGAGAGGGAAACTTCATTTTTACATAAGACTGGAAAGTAATTGTTGTGGGTGCCTGGCGATTATCTAAAGCCAATGGTGTAATGCAGGGGTTAAGAAGAATTTACCAAGACAGTTGTTGGTAAAGAAAGGCAGATTTATTAGAAAAAGTATGAAAGTACATTGCAAGGGAGCAACGGGCAGGCCAGCAGGAGAGGAGCTGACTGCCAGGAAACAGACACTTGCAGGGGATTTGATAGGATCATGCTCGTGGTGTGTGCTGGAGAGGGCTATGTGCAGTGCTAGTAACGCCAAGGTTGCAGGGAGCTAACTTGCAATTTTTGTATCAGCGAAGGTCTGGTGATTGCTGGGCACAGGAAGACTGAGTTATTTGTGCAGGGGGCCTGTGTGTCTTGGACAATGAAGAAAGGCAGACTCACAGCTTATCCTTTTGCTTTCCTTTGGTCCCACCAACCTGAATCCCCCTCCTTGATTAGGACTGTACAGTAATGAGTATGCAAGAGAATGAGAAATTTTCTTTTCTTTTTTTTTTTTGAGATGGAGGTTCACTCTTGTCACTCAGGCTGGAGTGCAATGGCGCGATCTCAGCTCAGTGCAACCTCTGCCTCCCGGGTTCAAGCAATTCTCCTGCCTCAGCCTCCCATGTAGCTGGGATTACAGGCACCCACAACCACAGCCGGCTAATTTTTTTGTATTTTTAGTAGAGACGGGGTTTCACCATGTTAGCCAGGATGGTCTCGATCTCCTGACCTCATGATCTGCCTGCCTCGGCCTCCAAAAGTGTGGGATTACAGGTGTGAGCCACTACACCCAGCCTGTTTTTTCTTTTTCTTTCTTTTTTTTTTTTTTTTGAAACAGTTTCACTCTTGTCACCCAGGCTGGAGTGCAATGGCGTGATCTTGGCTCACTGCAACCTCCACCTCCTGGGTTCAAGCCATTCTCCTGCCTCAGCCTCCCGAGTAGCTGGGATTACAGGTGCCTGCCACCATGCCTGGCTAATTTTTGTATTTTTAGTAGAGATGGGTTTTCACCGTATTGGCCAGGCTGGTCTCGAACTCCTGATCTCAGGTGATCTGCCCACCTCAGCCTCCCAAAGTGCTGGGATTACAGGCATGAGCCACCGCGCCCAGCCAGGAATGACAAAATTTCAAAATCACCATCTGTGAACTCCTAATAAAAATAATGAGGTGGGCAAGAATCAGTAACAGATTCCTGAAACCATTAGGCAGAAAGACAGTGAGGAGCTGCACACCTTGCCACGTACCAACCTCCCAACTTATGTAATTATCAGAAAGGGGAGAATGTACCTTGCTGATGAGGAGATGAGGCTGCCACCGTCTAACTCAGAGGAAGATCTTTGCGTCATCATAGTGGGATGTGAGCCACATGCCTTCTGAGGCTGTCCAGTAGGAAGCACACAGGACCACCTGTGAGAGACTCTCGAGTAAATATTTAACTTAAATACATAGAACTCTTGATCAACCTGCCAGTCAGCAGGAAATACAGGGAATAGGAAACAAGTTAAATGACACCACAAGGAAACAGACGAATTCAGACTTCAGGCATTGTCTTCTCAACAATTCAATGCTATGAAAGAATAAAAAAAAGTGACAGGACTATTCCATTGAATGAGACTTAAGACAGAAAACCAAATGTGTAGTCCTGAATTCAATCCAGATGTCAACTAACCAGTTGGAAAATACATTTTTCAAGTAATTGGGAAATTATGGATATAGCCAGCATTAGATGATGTTAGATCCTTAATTTTATGGGATGGTTAGTGGCATTGTGGTTCTACAGGAAAAGGTTCTTATTTTTTAGAGATGTGTAGAGATGCTTTTAGGGATGAAATGTCGTCATGTCCCCAATTTACTTTAAAATACATCAGCAAGAAAGAAAGCTAGATGAAGCAAAGAAGGCAAAACGTTAGCAGCCGTTAAAGATAAGAGCATGTTTCTGTTCCTTATTTATTGTCATCTCAACATGTCTATATGTTTGGAAATTTTCATAATAAAAAGCAAATAATAAGAAGAAAATGATATTTGGAAAGATTCTATTAAGAGTGAAAAAGATAACCAGGTAGGCCGATGACATCTTCTCACCTGCTGCCCACCCTCCTCCTCTGTTTTGTCCACAGGGTTTCTCAATGGACCGATTGCCAGAGGTTGGGGTGTCAAGAATTTGGGGTATCAAGGTTAAGTACAAAACATGGATCTTTGTCTGACAAGACAGGCTGGCCGCTGACTGTTAAATACTTCCCCACAAAAGGGACAAGCCCGGAGCCAGGTTACCGGCCCACACCGCAAGACAGGCTTTCTTTTAGGAAATGGACAAAGCTCTATGACCAGAACAAGCACTTTGGGGAATTTAAATTTGCTTTCCCTGACACGACTCCACTTTCATCACTACCCCTGAACTTAAGGGGCATCCAAACCTCAGTCTCAGCAGGTTTGTTTTGTGTCTGTGTGTGTCTGTATGTGTGTTCGTGTGTGTCTGTATGTGTATCTGTGTGTGTGTGTCTGTGTGTGTCTCTGTGTGTCTGTGTGTGTGTCTGTGTGTGTCTGTGTATGTCTCTGTGTGTCTGTGTGTGTGTCTGTGTGTGTGTGTCTGTGTATGTCTCTGTGTGTCTGTGTCTGTGTCTGTGTGTGTCTCTGTGTGTGTGTGTGTTTTGAAACACGGTCTTGCTCTGTCGCCCAAGCTGGAGGGCAATGGTGCAATCACGGCTCACTGCAGCGTTGACTTCCTAGGCTCAAGCGATCCTCCCATCTCAGCCTCCTGAATAGCTGGCACCACAGGTGGGAGCCACCACTTCTAGCTAATTTTTGTATTTTTTGTAGAAATAGAGTCTTTCTATGTTGCCCAGGATGGTCTTGAACTCCTAGGGTCAGGCAATCCTCCTGCCTCAGCCTCCCATGGTGTTGGGATTACAGGCGTGAGCCACCATGCACAGCCAGCATATTTCTTAACATCAGATTTTTTTTTTTTTTTGAGACGGAGTTTCACTCTTGTTGCCCAGGCTGGAGTGCAGGGGTGTGATCTCGGCTCACTGCAACCTCTACCTCCTGGGTTCAAGCGATTCTCTTACTTCAGCCTCCTGAGTAGCTGGAACTGCAGACACGTACCACCACGCCCAGCTAATTTTGTATTTTTAGTAAAGACGGGGTTTCACCATGTTGGTCAGGCTGGTCTCGAATTCCTGACCACAGGTGATCTGTCTGCCTTGGCCTCCCAAAGTGCTGCGATTGCAGGCCTCAGCCACCACGCCCAACCAGATTATTTATTTATTTATGTATTTATGTATTTATCTGTTTATGTATTTATTTATTTATTTTTCTTTTGAGACGGAGTTTTGCTCTTGTTGCCCAGGCTGGAGTGCAATGGCATGATCTCAGCTCACCGCAACCCCTGCCTCTGGGGTTCAAGCGATTCTCCTGCCTCAGCCTCCCTAGTAGCTGGGATTACAGGCATGCACCACCATGCCTGGCTAATTTTGTATTTTTAGCAGAGATAGGGTTTCTCCATGTTAGTCAGGCTGGTCTTGAACTTCCGACCTCAGGTGGTCCGCCCTCCTCGGCCTCCCAAAGTCCTGGGATTACAGGCGTGAGCCACCGCGCCTGGCCAGCATTTTTATTAACATTAGAATTTTTTACTGAATTATCTTGCTTGATACATCTTTGACTATCATTAAAATGTGTGTGGTCAGCCTGAGGGGACCTGGCTCCGGGCATGATGCTGTGAGTCGAGGTATTCCCTGTGAAGCTTTCTGGCCAATCAAGGCTGAAATTCCATGTGGCAGAAAATCCAGGCCACAGAGGAACCAGTTAAACGAAGCCATAGGGAACCGGACAAATCTAGAATGTGGACAATTGGCCAGGTCTCCATAACAGATCAGTGTGCTGGGAGCGGGTTGGGGAGTGTGTGTGTGTCAGGGAGTTGAGTCTAGATTAAAACAGCCAAAGACATGTGACAACTGCACTCACCATGTGAGCCGTGATTGGGGGCTTTTCCAACAGGCAGTGGTCAGACGCATCCTCAGGGACAACTGGGGACATTTCAATATGGACTGAGCATTCGGTAGTCTTAGTGACTTATTGCTGACTTTCTTTTTTTTTGAAATGACGTTTCCCTCTTATTGCCCAGGCTGGAGTGCAGTGGCGTGATCTCGGCTCACCGCAACCTCTGCCTCCCGGGTTCAAGCGATTGTACTGCCTCAGCCTCCCAAGTAGCTGGGATTACAGGCACGCGCCACCAAGCCTGGCTAATTTTGTATTTTTGTTTCTTTTAGTAGAGATGGGGTGTCTCCATGTTGGTCAGGGTGGTCTCGAACTCCTGACCTCAGGTGATCCGCCCACCTCCGCCTCCCAAAGTGCTGGGATTACAGGTGTGAGCTACCGTGCCCAGCCAAAAGTTTATGTTTTTAAGAGAAATGTGCTGAAGCACTGGGCTCGAGTGACAGTATGGTGGTTTATTCTGAAAGGGCTCAGCTGTGTGTGCAAGAGTGTATGTGAGTGTGTGTGTATGTCAGCATATGTGTGTGAGTATGTATGTGTCTGTGTGAACGTGTACGTGTGTGTATGTGTATGTGTGTGAGGATGGTGTGTATGTGTATGTGCTGAAGTAAATATGACTGAACAATAAGAATCGTCGATCTGGTTGTTTGGTACATGAGTATTCATCTTATTTCTTTTTCACTTTTTCTGTGCATTTGAAAGCTTTCATAGGAAGTCAGAAAATGTATCTGGTTGTTAAAACAATATTGTAACGTACACACACAGTCCATTTCCAGTCCCAGAATTGAGACAGTTAGTGCAGAGGCCACTGGCTCAGCTGTGGAAACCAGACTGCACGGTCCATCTGCACCCATGCTGTCTGTGAGCCCTGGGAATGTCGCTTCCTGTCTCTGGGCCTCAGTTTCCTTCTCTATAAAATGGGCTGATGCTGTTCCTGCCACAGAGGCTGGTGGGATTCAGGCCACATACCCCGGCACATCAGCGTTCCGTTGTTACACATTTGAATACTCCCAAGCCAGTTGGTAAACAGTTGACTCTCCGGGACCCCTTGCACGTTTCCACGACTCAGCAATCAACGTGGAGCTGAACTGGCTGTGAAGCGTTTTGAGCACTGCCCGTGTTTGTCTCACAGCCCTCACGGGAATCCCGGTTAATATACTCAATGAGCGGAGCCCTGAAAACCCCGCCTGCCACCTCGTAAGTGTTCTATAAGCGTTTGCCATTTTAGTAAGTCCTTGTATTTTTATCCAATCTTTGTTTTATGTTACAAAGATAGATGGAAGGTTAACGTTGAAGTAATTAACTTCTTAATGGAAGTGTAGAATTACAAAGTAATTGAAAAGAAGAATAGATGAGATCTGTGAGAGTTTCTTGTCTTTCTGCCTCATGCTAAAATGTAAGCTCTTGTTGTAAACGAAAGCCTGCGTGCAAATGGTTTGCAGGCTGATTAGCGAATCTGGGGCACGGAGCTATCCAGGAGCTCTCACTGTAGATTTAACATCCACGCATTTTATGTAGCTTCTTGATGCTGATGTTGGTAAGAGACGCTAAATTGTCATGGGCATTATGTGGAAAACCCGTAGATGATTTCTGGAGCACAAAAGCCTGACCTGGAATTGGGGCAGAGCTGGGGAAGGTAGGGGGAATGATTCATTTTTGCAGCAAGGGGGATGTGGGGGGCTCAGGCCAGGGCAGGGTGGGGCTGCTGGAAACAAGATAAAGAGAAGGACATAGATATAATGGCAAGGACTCCTTAGCTGTGGGCTAATCGGTGAGCTCAATTATGTCGGGCAAGTTTAAAGAATTTAAACATTAAACCATATGTTCCATACATAAAATAATTTTTGAGGGCCAGGGAACTTCCAGCCAGACACCGACCTCGGGTTGTTCATCACCATAGTGGCTGGTGGGGTACCATTCACGTGGGAGGTCGGAGGAGTGAGCAAGCGGGTTAGGCTGTGTCAGCCTTCCTGACAGGTGCTCAAGGACATCCGCTGTGTGCCTAGGTGCAGCTGTGTCACTGGGATGGACACAGGAAGCAATGTGGGGTCTTTGCTGCCAGTGAGCTCCCGGTCTAGGAGAAGAGAGAGGAAGCATCTTTATCTGTGTTATCCCAGGTACGCGTGCCAATTATATGTCTGTATCCTTATCTGTGTCTACATATACACCTACATCTACATCTACAGTCATATCAATATCTATACCCATACCCATATCTCTATATTTCTACATCTATACCCATATCACAGCTGTGTCTATATCTGTTAAGTCATTCTTGCATTGCTATAAAGAAATACCTGAGACTGGGTCATTTACAAAGAAAAGAGGTGGAATTGGCTAACGGTTCTGCAGGCTGCGCAAACATCGTACCAGCATCTGCTCCGCTTCTGGGGAGGCCTCTGGGAGCTTTTGCTCATGGCGGAAGGTGAAGCAGGAGCAGGTGTGTCACATGGACAGAGCTGAAGTCAGAGAGAGAGAGAGTGGGTTGGGGGAGCTGCCACACACTTAAACACCCAGACCTCCTGAGAACTCACTCACCATTGTGAGGACAGCACAAAGCCACGAGGGATCTTCACCCACGAACTAAACCCCTCCCGCCAGACCCCATCTCCAACACTGGAGATTACAACTCAACATGAGACTTGGGTGGGGACAAATATCTAAACTATATTACTATATCTATATCTATATACATCTATGTCCATAGCTACATCTATGTCCACATCTGTATCTGTAATCTGTGTGTTCAGATAGATACACATGTCTTTTTACAAAGAAAATAAAGCCAGGTTGCAGTGGCTCACACTGGTAATCCCAGCACTTTGGGAGGCTGAGGCAGGTGGATCACCTGAGGTCAGGAGTTCGAGTCCAGCCTGGCCAACATGGTGAAACCCTGTCTCTATTAAAAATACAAAAAAAAAAATAGCTGGGCATGGTGGCGGGTGCCTGTACTCCCAGCTACTCAGGAGGCTGAGGCAGGAGAATCGCTTGAACCCAGCAGGCAGAGGCTGCAGTGAGCTGAGATCATGCCACTCCACTCCAGCCTGGGCGACAGAGTGAGACTCCCTCTCAAAAATAAATAAATGAAAAGAAAATAAGCTCAGAGAAATCAGGTGGTGCCACCATCAATAAGCATCAGAACTGGAATGCAAACGTGGGCTTTGGTGCCTTCAAAGTCAGAACTGTGTTCACCCCTCTCGCTTTAGGGTCTGTATCAGTTTGTTAGGGCTGCCATAACAAAGTGCCACAAACAATAGGACGGTCTTCTCTCCCAAGCCAGAAGTCGGAGATCCCGGTGTCCGCAGGGTTGAGCTCCCCTGAAGGCTCCAGGGGAGGGTCTGTCCCAGCTGGGCCTGGATCTGGCCTCCGGTGGCCCCTCGGCTGGGTGGCCCCTGGGCTGAGTGGCTCCTCGGCTCGGTGGTGGAGCTCCAGTCCTCACGTGGTGTCCTTCCTCTGTGTGTGTCTCTCTGTGTCCCAGTTTCCCCTTTTTATAAGAACACTGACTGTATTCAATTAGGATCCTCCCTCATGACCTTATCTGAATTTGATTTAATTTCATTCCCTCTTTGGAAATAGACAAGACCCTATTTCCAAATAAAGTCACATTTCCAGGTATGGGGGGTGGTTAGGTCTCCAACATACCTTTTTTTTTTGAATGGGGTATAATTCAACTCATAACGGTGTCTTTCACCAAAACCCAGTGATCCTACTTAATCCACATCCCATCTCTTAATGCCTAGTCCCATCGACTTGTCACTAGATGATGCTGAGAACAAAGGTTTTGTATCTGGGATAAAAGCTTTTTCATCATCATAGAAATTTGGCAAACTTCAGAAGCACCATTACTGTGTTTCAATTTTGTCAAGCCTTTTAACAGCTGTACCATATCCTTGGACTACTTCTATTTTGTAGATAAACGCACGGATACTTGTTTATGTGTACACGTGGTGCTCACACCGAATGTTAGAAGTATGCAATGTGCTTTCTTACACGTGTGGTCATTTATGGCAAACAGCTCTGGGAGGAAAGCAAGGCAGGAAGCAGCTTGTGCATCTGCAGAGGGCACGATGGTGTCTGCTGGGCTGGGTGACTCACCAGTCACAAGCTGGGGTGGGTGGGGCCAGAGAGCCACAGTGCAGAGCTGCTGGACCTCAGGCCCTCACAGCTGAATCAGGGTTCACTTTTTAGGGCTTATTGTTGGGCACAGTCCAGAGACAGCCAGAAATCCCCACATATTAAAGCAGAAAGCACCTTCTAGCCGAGCCACGTTGGACGTGGGACCCATCACTTGTCTTATTTCCACATCTTATAACTTGGAGGAACACAGTTATTGCAATCTTTGCACTGTCTGCCTTTCCTCCATATGTGCTCTGTAGTGTTATTTTCTTGACATTTCTCTTCCTTTGGGGTGGAAAAAGAGGAAAAAGGTCACGGTGGGTGGAAACAAAATGAGAAGAGAAAGTGCATGGGCAGAATTTCAGTGAGGATGTTGTCACTTCAGAAACCCACACCTCCAACTTGTGGTCTGACGAGGTGATCAAACTCAGGACACAAGACGGCGCTCCTCGCCCCACCGCAGCTAACGTCAGTCACGTTACAGGGCAGGTAGGATGGAAAGCGCGTGGCCTATGCTGCGGTCCAGCTTAGATTCTAGCAGCGCGGCTTTCATATCCTGCTCAGGCAAGCCTTGGTCACTCACTGGGCCTCTGATTCTGTGACAAATCCATTGGGCAGACACCCCGAGAGAGCAAGAGGTGACTGAGTCATGGCCTGGCTGTGAGGGACAGCCCACAGTCTGGAGATAGCAAGCCGCCAATGCTGCAGTCACCCTTATAAAACATTTGGAATTACGGAAGCTGAGCAGAGCAGGTTTTGCTTGTTTACTTTGTTTCTGGTTTGCAGAGAGCATTAGGTTGGAGGAAGTTTTTTTTTCTTGTTCTTACATCACAAAATGTAAACTATCAGAGACTTAAAGCTTAAGCATTTTTGTGCATCCAGACAAACCACGACAAAACAAAACAGCCAGCCACAGCCTACACGTTTGGGCCAGGGTCGTGGTTCTCTCACGGAATGCTGTTCAGAAGCGAAAAGACACCAACATTGACAATTCAGGAGAAGGAGAATTTCAGACACCGTATTCAGTTCTCTTTGTGGCTGAGTCTCTGCAATACGCTGTCTTCCATGTAAGGACTAGAATCAAAGGCTGAGCTGTCTCCATCGCTCCCTGCCCATTGAGAGCCTATGGTCATATGGGGAAACTACCTTTTCATCATGGAAAAGAAGAACTGGTGAGCTTCCTTTGCTGACTCATTAAGCCATTCATCTAGCATTCACCAAGTGCTACATTCATCCAGCGTTCACCAAGTGCTACCGGAGTGCCAGGCTCAGGGCCACATAGAGCTGTTTAGCTGTTCTTGTGACTTTTTTTCCGCTTTTTCTTTTTTTTTTTTTTTTTGAGACGGAGTTTTGCTCTCATCGCCCAGGCTGGAGTGCAATGGTGTGATCTCGGCTCACTGCAACCTCTGCCTCCCGGGGTGAAGCAATTCTTGTACCTCAGCCTCCCGAGTAGCTGGGATTACAGGTGTGTGCCATCATGCCTGGCTGATTTTTGTATTTTTAGTAGAAACGGGGTTTCCTCATGTTGGCCAGGCTGTCTCAAACTCCTGACCTCAGGTGATCCACCAGCCTCGGCCTCCAAAAGTGCTGGGATTACAGGTGTGAGCCACCACGCCCGGCCAATTTTTTTTTTCTCCTAACATCTCAGGGGAACGTTTTTATCCTCGTGCAGTTTGCCCATCACGAGCCGGGTCCCGTGTTGATGCCAAGGTCATAGCAAGTGTCATGCGGCACGCCATTGGGTACTCGAAGTGTTTAGGTGCCTGCCCTCCCCTCGGATCCGGCCCCATCCAGGGGCCCTGCTCCCATTTCCTGCCCTGCACCTTCCTCCAGGAAGTCCCCCTCCCGGCCACGCCAGCCCGTTTCCAGACCTCACCCTTGACCTTCACCCCTTATTTGTGCACGTGCTGCCATCCTTCGCGGTGTCACGTCTCACCGTCACATTCCCAGCCGGGATAGTTCCTGCATATCACGGAAGACCTGCCTAGGGAGCTGCCTTCCCGAGTTTTCATCTTCTCTCGTCCTCAAGGAGCCTCCCGCCAGGCACGCGGCTCCTTCCGCTGGCTCTCCCCTCTCTCTTCTGTCACTAGAAGGGCCTTGACCCTATCAGCGTCGAGCCTTTGTCGTGATGACGCATTTGTCTTCTCTCTGAGTGGCTCTGTACCGCGTTCTCTTAGCTAATCTGTGTTTCTCAAAGTTCCCTTCCCTGAATGGTTCCAACGTCCTGTTGGAGGAAAGAGAGATTTGCAGAAATTTGGAAGGTGGAAATGAAGGAGCAGCTATTTTCTACAGGACGATCATCTGTGTTTATTCACACCGTGAGGCTCAAAGAGGTTGCTTCCCCCCTACCAGCGGAAAAGGGATGCTGCACGAAGGAATTTTAGGCAGTGACACTGTAATGGTGGGTACGTGTCATTCTACATGTGCCCAAACCAGAGAACGGCCAACGCCGTGAGTGGTCCGTGTGTTACAGTTGATGAACCTGCATTGGAGTATCGGAGTCGCCAGTGCGGGCACAGACATCTGCGGAAACATCAAGCCCCGCTCATCCCCTCCTAGTGGGAAGCCCCCCCTACATTCATCAACGCCACAGGTTTCTTTATGGGAGAGTTTTAAAGGTTGTAGTTTTAGGCTGCCTATTTGTTCAGAGCAGAGAAAGAGAATAAGCTCTGAAAATGGCAAAGGCATAGCAGGAGGAGATTGGAACCATGGTGGAGATCAGCCCCCAGGCCAGGACTGCACAAGCCGTCCCTCAGTGGGAGGGACCTTCCTGCTCGTGGTGGTCACTTGCCTCATAGTGAGCACTCATTCCCCCGCCGGGGGCGGCTGGCACCCATCATTGCAGATCTGTGGGTGCTCCTATCCCTCCAGAGGACACTAAAGAGCAGGGGAGATGCACTTTCCTTCCAGTCCAAACCAGCCACCTGCCCGAAGGAAGAAGGAGAACCAGGGCTGCATCCAAGGAAAACACTTTCATTTCTCAAAGGAAAACATTAGGAACCTGAGGGAAGCTATTGCCGGGTGTGTAACTGACCCAGGATCTTCATCTAGAGCAGGGCTGGCAAAACAAGGCCCTCAGGCCAAATCAGGTCCACCATCCATTTATTTTGTATTCTCTGTAAGCTAACCATGAATTTTATTTTTTTTTAATGGTTCAAAAATGTAGAAGGAGAATGATGTTTTGTGACATGTAAAAATGATATGCTGTTCACGTTTTCAAGTCCATCAAAATAAGATAAACTGAACAGCACCAGGCTCATGGGTTTAGTATTGTCTGCAGCTGTTTTACGTGACAGCAGGAGAAAAGGTCCCACAGAGACCACATGGCTCACAAAGCCTAAAAGGTTAACTTTCTGGCTCATTACTGGAAAAGTTTGCTGATCCCTGACTATTTTTATTTTATTTTATTTTATTTTATTTTATTATTTTTGAGACAGGATCTCACTCTGTCACCCAGGCTGGAGTGCACTGGTGCAACCTCGGCTCACTGCAGCCCTGACGTCCCAGGCTCAAGCGATCCTCCTATCTCAGCCTCCCAAGTACCTGGGACTGGGACAGCAGGAGTGCAACACCCACACCAACACCAGACCACAGCCTTGACCCCTGAGTTTAGAGCATGCAAGAAATTCCTACAAATCAATTAGAAAAAACAAGCGATTTAAATAGAGAAATGGGCAAAAGACCTGAACAAGCACTGTACCAAAGAAAAGATCAAAATGGCTACTCAACGGATGCTCCCCTGTGTTATTCATCAGTGGCTGCTGCTTACAACCACAGTGAGATATCACTACATAGCCGCCAGGACAGCAAAGTCAGGAAAGAGGAGCAGGAATCAGTGTGGATACAGAGAAACTGAACTCAGACACTGTTGGTGGGAACTGAACTCACACACTGCTGAGGAGAACTGAACTCACTCACACACCATGGGGGGACTGAACTCACTCACACAGCACTGAGGGGACTGAACTCACACACCACGGGGGGGCCTGAACTCACTCACACACTACTGTGTGGAAACTGAACTCACTTGCGCACCCCTGGGGGGAAGTAACATTTTTGCATTGACCCTGGACCAATAACCACTGAAACTGAACTGAAGCTTCCATGGCGACACTGTGATTCCCCACGACCAGCAGAAATGCAAACATATTGCACACAAGGTCATGCACAAGAATGTTGACAGGATCACTGTTTGTGTGTTTATCTGAACCTTCACCTGCTCATGACAGATAAAGGTTATCATGTGAACGTGGGGAAGACATCGCCAAACACCCAGGGGAGGTTTCCCTGGGAGCAGACACCTCCTCCCCTCGCCGTCCTCTTTTACCTCCCGTTGCCGTCCTCTTTGAAATGCCCTGCAGCACGGTCAAGGGACTCTGCTGCTCTGCCAGTCCACTGTGTAGGTCTTCCTGCTTCTCCACTTTATTTCCACCAAATTATAAACTCTTGGAAACAAAGATTCTGCCATCACGCATTTCTTTATCACTCACAGCATCTGGATGTCCTCCACAACAGCAAGTGGCACCTGTCATATTTTGTTTTGTGTTTTTTGTTGTTGTTGTTTTGTTTTTTTTTGAGACGGAGTCTCGCTTTCTTGCCCAGGCTGGAGTGCAGTGGTGTGATCTCTGCTCATTGCAAGCTCCGCCTCTCGGGTTCAAGCGATTCTCCTGCCTCAGCCTCCCTAGTAGCTGGGACTACAGCTGCGTGCCACCACGCCTGGCTAATTTTTTGAATTTTTAGTAGAGACGGGGTTTCACAGTGTTAGACAGGATGGTCTTGATCTCCTGACCTCGTGATCCACCCGCCTCGGCCTCCCGAAAGTGCTGGGATTACAGGCATGAGCCAACGCGCCTGGCCACCTGTCACGTTTTACAGCTAAGGAAGCTGAGGTCACATGTCCAAGGAGTCAAGCATGGGACGTCTCTGTCCTTACCCAACGTGGGTCTCACCACCACTCCTTATTGACTCCACTCTGATCAGACTGTGCCTCTGATAACTCCCAGGACAGGCTCAGCCTTTTCAAGCTTCTGGGCCTTCACATTTGCTTTTGCCTCTCTACCTGGGTCTTTATTTCTTCTATTGTCCAAGGACCAAGTCCTCCTCATCCTTCAGGTCTCAACTCTGGCTGGGCTCCGAGGAGGAGCTACCACCTGGGACGCCACTACCTGTCGGGCCTGCCTCCCTCTCTTACTCGCTCATGTCCTTGCATTTCACTCATTGAATGATCTTAAACATTCATGATAGAATGATCTATCATGTCATAAAAATGACATGATAATTATTTTTATCTCTTTGTGGACTGTTTATTTTCTGTCCTGCCCTTCCCACCTCACAAGAATGGGAAGCCCCATGGTGGGCTGGGACATCATCTGTCTTATTCACACGTGATGTTAAAAGAGATTGTTTTCTTCCTAACGGTGATGAAGTTACACTGCACAGAGGATCTTCAGGGCAGTGAAGCTACTCTGCATGGCACTGTCATGGTGGATAAGAGTCAGTGTACATCTGTGCAGACCCAGAGGATGAACAACACCTAGAGCGAGCCCTCGTGTAAACCACGGACTCCAGGCAATGAAGACGTGTCCATGTGGGTTCACCAATGGTAACAAATGCACCACACTTGCTGGTGGGGGGTGGCTATGCGTGCAGGGGAGAGGGGACAGGCAGCGAATGGCAGGTGTCTGTACCTTCTGTGCATTTTACTGTGAGCCAAAAACTGCTCTAAAAAAATTGTCTACTTTTAAGTTCTGATGGGTTCTCTGGCTTCAGGGAGTTGCCATTTTGGATCCTGAAGAATAAAGAGATAGGCTCATTTGCATGAGGTAGGCAGAGTCAAGTTGGAGGTTGAACTACGTGCTGGGACTGAGGCCATCAGACTCTGGAGGGAGGAGGGGAGCATAGCTGCTGTCTTGCTGACAGCTTCATGGGGAAGCTGGGGTCTGAGTTAGGATGAGTGTCTTAGTCCATTTGTTTTGCTATCAAGGACTACCTGAAGCTGAGTAATTTATAAAGAAAAGAGGTGTGTTTGGCTCACCTCTCTGCAGCCTTCACAGGGAGCATGGTGCCAGCATCTGCGACTGGTGAGGCCTCCGAAATATTAGAAATTGGCCGGGCGCAGTGGCTCATGCCTGTAATCCTAGCACTTTGGGAGGTTGAGGGGGGCGGATCACCTGAGGTCAGGAGATCGAGACCAGCCTTCCCAACATTGGTGAAACCCCGCCTCTATTAAAAATACAAAAATTAGCTGGGCGTAATGGCAGGCACATGTAATCCCAGCTACTCGGGAGGCTGAGGCAGGAGAATCGCTTGAACCCAGAAGGCAGAGGTTGCAGTGATCCAAGATCACACCACTGCACTCCAGCTTGGGTGACAGAACTAGACTCCGTCTCAAAAAAAAAAAAAAAATGTGAGAAATCATTCTGCTCGTGGCGTCATGGCGGAATGGGAAGCGGAGCAGGCATCACATGCCAAGAGGAAAAAAGCCATAAAGAGGGACAGAGAGAGAGGAAAGGAGCTGCCAGGCTCTTTTTAACAATCAGATCTCGCGAGAGCTAATGAGATGAGACAAATAGAGTGAGGATGGCACCAAGACATTTATGTAGGGGCCACACCAGTGACCAGACACCTCCCACCACAACAATGACCAGACACCTCCCACCACACCAGTGACCACACACCTCCCACCACACCAGTGACCACACACCTCCCACCACACCGGTGACCAGACACCTCCCACCACACCGGTGACCAGACACCTCCTACCACAATGACCAGACACCTCCCACCACACCAGTGACCCAGACACCTCCCATCACACCAGTGACCCAGACGCCTCCCACCACACCAGTGACCAGACACCTCCCACTAGGCCGGCACCAACACTGGCGATCCAATGTCAGCCTGAGGTTTTGGGGGTGTCAAACATCCAAACGATATCACTGGGGTATGTCTGGGGAGGCAGGATGATGGCAGAAGGCCTCGAGACAGGAAGACCTTGCCTTGGGTCCGAAGCCTGTGCACAACCATCAGGAAACTCATCTGTTTCTGCTGGAGTTTAACTTGACTTTGATTGGTTATTAAAAACCATCCTGTAATCCCAGCAGTTTGGGAGGCTGAGGTGGGCAGATCACAAGGTCAGGAGTTCGAGACCAGCCTGGCCAACATGGTGAAACCCGGTCTCTACTAAAAATAGAAAAAATAGCTGGGTGTGGTGGCGGGTGCCTGTAATCCCAGCTACTCGGGAGGCTGAGGCAGGAGAATTGCTTGAACTCAGGAGGTGGATGTTGCAGTGAGCTGAGATTGCACCACTGCACTCCAGCCTGGGTGACAGAGCAAGACTCCGTCTCAGAAAAAAAAAAAAAATCATTGGGCCGGGCATGGTGGCTCACTCCTGTAATCCCATCACTCTGGGAGGCCGAGGCAGGTGGATCACCTAAGGTCAGGAGTTCAAGACTGGCATGGCCAACACAGTGAAAACCTATCTCTACTAAAAATACAAAAATTAGCTGGGCATGGTGGTGGGCGCCTATAGTCCCAGCTCCTCAAGAGGCCGAGGTGGGAGAATCACTTGAACCCCAGAGGCAGAGGTTGCAGTGAGCCAACATCGCGCCACTGCACTCCAGCCCGGGTGACAGATTGAGACTCTGTCTCAAAAATAAATAAATAAATAAAATAAATAAATAAATAAAAATAATCATTGGTTCTCACCTCCTTTATGATTCTTTTGCCCCATTCTCTCTTCTCTTCTGGGGCTGTGTGTGCACAGAGGACCTGCTCCCCCGTCCTGAGCGCCCTGGTCTCTTGTGCCCCCTGCCCATTTCCCTCCTCCGTTCTCCACCTGTCCTGGCTGTGCAAATGCTTCGGAGGACTCGCCCACTTTTCCCGTCCCCTCCTTTGCTGCCTACAGTCCATGTTAGAGTTCTTATTTTCCGTATCACATTTCACATTTCTAAAACTTCTACTTGATTCTTTTATTATTATAATTTTCACTTTTCTGGTGAAATTCTCCATCGGCTCACTTCAGTACTTGGATGGAGTAACCCCATATTTTTTAGAGGACGCATCTCATAACTCCAGCCCCTGAAATTCCCGCGATCTCTTCCTATTGCCTGTTTTTCTTGGCTGTCGGTAATTTCTTTCTTGTCTTATCTCTGTCAGGTAAGTTTTGGTTGAATGTTGCTGTTGCCTATTAAAGGTTGTAGAAATGATTTGAGGATCTGGATGTATTATCTTCAGGAAGCAATTTCTGTTACTCATGGCAGGCATGTGGGTGGGGACAAAAAATCTCACTCCAGTCAGGGTTTGTGCTGTTTGGGGGCTGAGTTTCAGGGGTTTTTCCTCCCCTAAACTTACTACTATATCAGATAGTGAATATGTTTCGTGTTTAGAATTCTAAATTAGAGGTTATTTCCTATTGCCCAGCTCAACCTGGGTAGAGAAATGTGAGCCCAAAGCTAAACATTCCAGCTTTCTCATCCCAGCATTCACAACCACAACAATGTTTGGCTGTCGGAGTCCCAGGTGAGAGGGGTGAGCCAGGCAGGCTTGGTTTTCAAGTAAAGGGGATTTTCATGGGGATAGGGCACTGGGGGCAGAGGAGGGAGTCTGTGGGGGTAGCAGGAGCTCTGGGAGACAGCAAGGCTCCCACAGGGGAGGAGGGGTCATTGTATTTGAGCCCAGCACAATTCCTTACAAGTGATTTTTTTTTTTCAAGAACAAGCCAATTGATATAGTTGGATGTGTGTCCCCTCCAAATCTCCTGTGGAAATGTGACGCCCGGTGTTGGAGGTGGGCCTGGTGGGAGGTGACTGTGTTGTGGGGGCGGATCCTTCCTGAATGGCTTGGTGCCTTCCTGCTGTCTCCAGTGAGTTCACTGGAAATCTGGCTGTTTAAAGAGCCTGGCGCCTCTTGGCCGGGCGCGGTGGCTCACGCCTGTAATCCCAGCACTTTGGGGGCCGAGGCGGGTGGATCACAAGGTCAGGAGATCAGGACCATCCTGGCTAACACGGTGAAACCCCGTCTCTACTAAAAAATACAGAAAATTAGCCGGGCGCGGTGGCGGGCGCCTGTAGTCCCAGCTACTCAGGAGGCTGAGGCAGGAGAATGGCGTGAACCCGGGAGGCGGAGCTTGCAGTGAGCTGAGATCGCGCCACTGCACTCCAGCCTGGGCGACACAGCCAGACTCTGTCTCAAAAAAAAAAGAGCCTGGCACCTCCTTCTCTCTCTTGCTCCCTCTCTTGCCACCTGACACACCTGCTCCCCCTTCACCTTCCGCCAGGAGAAAAATCTTCCTGAGGCCTCCCCAGAAGCAGATGCTGGAACAACCCGCAGAACCATGAGCCACATATACCTGTTTCTTCATATACTATCCAGCCTCAGGTGTTCCTTATAGCAACGCAAGACAGACGAATACACCAGCCACATTAAGGTGGGGAATGGTTCTTGCTAATCTATCTTGAGACCAAGCATGTGTTAGGGTTAAATAGGAAATAGGTGTTAAAGTTTTCTGATGTTGTGTACGACACCTAATGAAATTGGCTTTCTTCCTCCCCATCTCCCTCCCTTTCTCCCGTCCTTGTCTCTCTGTCTTTGTCTTTGTCTCTCTGTTGGTCTCTCTCTTTCCTTCCTCTCTTGGTTCCCTGGTGTGCAGAATGACTAAGAAGGGGAAACACACAAGTGCACTCAATACTTTTTTTTTTGAGACACGGTCTGGCTCTGTCGCCCAGGCTGCAGTGCGCTGGTGTGACCTTGGCTCACTGCAACCTCTACCTCCTGGGCTCAAGCCATCCTCCCACCTCAGCCTCCAGAGTAGCTGGGACTACAGACACATGCCACCACGTCTGGATAATTTTTGTCTTTTTTTTTGTAGAGATGGGTTTTCACCATTGTCTCGTCTGGTCTTGAACGCCTGAGCTCAAGCCATTCGCCTGCCTCGGCCTCTCAAAGTGCTGGGATTACAGGCATAAGCCACCATGCCTGGCCTCAAAAGAATTAAAACGGTTAATGAGTTAAAACAAGATTAAGTCTGTACATTATATAATGTAGAAGCTTCTGTGGAAAACTCCCCAGCCCTATGTGGACGACATCACATCTGATTTATCCTTGTGGTCTACACCGCTGGGTGCTCAGCCTTCTCCTGAGAGATGCTGTGAAACTTCTCTACCACCTGGAACAGGAGAAGGGAGGCCCATGTGGGGGCAGAGACCTCTGTCCAGAGTCCAGTGGCAGCTGGTAAGGATTTTTCATGCAAGGAATAGCTTAGAAGAGACAACAGTTATTGGCTGATTTTGATGAAGGATTAAAATTAAAATATCTCAGCCACTTCCTACTCAATGTATCCTATACATTTTCTTGTTAATCTAACATGCAGTTTACTTTCTGGGTGATAGCTCATTAGTTCAGAGGAGAATTGCTAGTTATGGGAGATACTACTTCCTGTTGAGTAGGGCAACTAGCTCTGCGATAGCTTTTATTGGACTGCTCATATTTTGAAATACAATGTTGTTTTACTAATCCTTGTTTATTCAACATCCTTGAACACTGGCTTTATGTGAGATAAACTTAAGAATCAGGGTTTAATCATAGTTTTCTTAGTTGTCAATTCCAATTCAAGCTGAGTCCAGGAAGAGGCTCCGCTGCTTCCAAATGCTAGCACACTGCCCTCTTGTGGGAGACCCTGAACACTGCAGAGCTTTACACTTCGAATCTCATCTAGTGAATCTAATTTCATTTCCCCGAAGCCAAACATATCCTTAGGCAGCAAATATAAAATATGTTTTACTTTACAAAGTCTGTTAGCCCTTCATAGCTCCTTCGTAATGCATAAATCTGTAAAACGTTTGCTTGGTGTCAATTACTTAATTCAAATAAGGAATTCCTGTACAATCTCTTCATGGTTATTATGGTGAAAGCTGGTTGGTGCTCTAGAACTGAATATGTGCAGAGAATTGTTAAACTCAAAAGCCAGTTTCCTATCTCACCTCTGGAAGCCTCAATTCGTCATGTTTCAAATGGAGATGGCCTGAGGGCATTTCATAGGGAAATGGCTGGATCGGTTTAGGAGCCCAAACGCTGCTAGAATTTTGTTTTTTCTGGAATGCCTTATGAAATCGCCTTCTTCTTTGATACAGTTAAAATAGGCTGTTATTAGAGCTAAACGTTTAAAATATTTCTACTTTTCCCTTTAAAAATTTTTTTTAAAATTTATTATTTTTTGAGATGGAGTCTTGCTCTGTCGCCCAGGCTGGAGTGCAGTGGTGCAGTCTTGGCTCACTGCAACCTCCGCCTCCCAGGTTCAAGCGATTCTCATGCCTCAGCCTCCTGAGAAGCTGGGATTACAGGCACCTGTCACCAAACCTGGCTAATTTTTGTATTTCTAGTAGAGACAGGGTTTCACCATGTTGACCAGGCTGGTCTTGAACTCCTGACCTCAAGTGATCCACCCACCTTGGCCTCGCAAAGTGCTGGGATTACAGGCATGAGCCACTGCGCCCGGTCCCCTTTTCTTTTTTTAAAAAACAAATTACAGGTCACACGTCCTTAGTGAGCACACACAATCACTTTGCAAGGCTAGGCCTGGACAATTCAGGGAGCTAGAGAAGGTCCAAGGTTCATTGGGAATTAGACTGTGGGTGTTAATTTAAGAAAGGACCTGCAAATCACAGGTGCTGTCCATAGTCCTGGAGTGAGGCAGGCACTCCTGTCTGGACTGGCCAGCCGGTGCACCAAGGCCTGACCTTCCTGCTCCCGGGCTCAGATCACAGCGGCAGCCCCACGACGACGCGGCAGCAGGTGCCAGCTGTAGGTGGAGGCAGGGAGGGTGGTTTGGAGCTGTGGGGTGGACTGGGGTTCGAAACAGAAAACGGCAGTGTCAAGATGGGGGTAAGAAAATGCCACCTGGACTTCTCAGTACAGGCATCTTATTATCTTTGTGGCTTCAGAACAGAATGTTACTGGATAGAGTTGTCCAGTTTCTTGGCGTGTTGAACGAAGAACTGAACAAAATGCACAAAGTAACAAAAGAACAAAACAACAGAAGAACAGAGGGAGTAACCAAGGCACAGATCTATTGAAGAAGCAAAAGCACAATTCACAAAGTGGGATGGGCTTGAGCAAGCGGCTCAAGAGCCTCTCTAATTAGGTTTTTTGTTGTTGTTGTTTTGTTTTTTTGAGACAGGGTCTCACTCTGTTGCCCAGGCTGGAGTGCAGTGGTGCGATCTCAGCTCACTGCAACCTCTGCCTCCGGGGTTCAAGTGATTCTTGTGCCTCAGCCTCTTGAGTAGCTGGGATTACAGGCACCTGTCACCACGCCTGGCTTATTTCTGTATTTTTAGCAGAGATGGGGTTTCACCATGTTGGCCAGGCTGGTCTCGAACTCTTGGACTCAAGCGACCCACCCACCTTGTGCTGGGATTACAGGTGTGAGCCACCGCGCCTGGCCCAATTAGGATTTTTATAAAGCCAAAAGAACTTGGCAATACCCCTAGGTGCCCTTTAGCGGCCTCCAGTTGGTTATTCCCTATGAAGGATGGACCTGTGACCAATCAGATGCTGAAGTGGAGAAGGCCGTGGTCAATCAGAGGCTGAAGTGGAGGTTTCTGTCTTCTTATCACAGGAGAGAGGCTGTGGCCTGTGTACCGCCGGATCCTGCCTGGAACTGACTGCACCTGCTGTTATTTGCTAAAGCCCCAGCCCGGGGCTGCCCTAATTCCCTATTCTCCTCATGAAGCCCATAGCTGTTGGGAAAGACAGTCCCAGGGTCCTTCCCACGTGTAAGTGTCTTCCTCAGGCGTGTCCAGAGCACTGTGGCTGGATTGCTCTTTCCCGGACCATCTCTCAGGGCTGTGCGTGCAGGGAGCCATCCTCGAGGGAGGAGGAAATGTGTCCCCCGCGGACAAGGAGCAGGCATCGACTGTCTGCTATAGAACAGGGTCCCAGCGTCCGTGTGCCTCGGCCGGGACACAGAGCCAGCGTGCACCCGGCACCGAGCTGAGCTGTTCCACGCGGCCCTGTGGGATGTGGGGCCAAGGGAACCACAGACTCCTGCCCGTGCTGTCTTCTGCGCAGTGAGGAATAAAACCCTGGTCTCTGATCGACGCGTCTCCCGACTTCTAGCAGCGTCAATGAAATAGCAAAAGGCAACTTATTAGCTTGTAAGTAAAGTGAAAGAAAATCCGTGACCTTGTAGTTCAATGTAAGTTCAGGGCTGATTATTTAATTTTAAATTTTTTCCACATGGAAATTGCTTTAATGAGCTTTTACATCCCCTGCTGATAAAACAATTAGGAAAGGGAAAAGAGTTTTACAGTGCTAACAGATACAATTTCACACCACTGAATTAGGTATTAGAAATGGTGAAGTAGACTCTCCGTATGTCCGTAGGGTCTGCAAAAGTAACGTCGCGTTAATTTAATGTTCGTAACGTAATTAATGTGCCTTGAAACAAAAAAACTCATTAACTTGAGAAGCCAGTTTGTGGCCATAACACTCTCCAATGTCACCTCCTCTACCATGATCTGTGCTTAAAATTCTGCAGTACTATCTTTGGAATAAAGATGATGAGTCCAAAATACAAGCATTTCTTTTCATTGCCCTTGACAATTATCTTTTTCCTTTTTGAGACAGGGTCTTGCTCTGTCACCCAGGCTGGAGTGCAGTGCTGCAATCTCGGCTCACTGCAGCCTTGAACTTCTGGGCTCAAGAGATCCTCCCGTCGCAGCCTGTTGAGTGGCTAGGACTACAGGTGTGAGCCACCTCACCTTGCTAATTTTTAATTTTTTTTGTAGAGACAGGGTCTTGCTATGTTGCCCAGGCTGACAGTTACTTTTGTTTCCTTATTTGTTAATGTTTTTCTTTTTTTTAAATCGCTCCTTGTGGAGCAGTGCTAACTCTTAGGCAGTGCAGCTGAGCTGTCAACAACTACTGTTATACAGAGAACATAAGAATGGGTAATTAGAGGAGGTAGGATATTGTTGGTGCAGCTATATTATTTAAAATTGGTGGAAGTCCAGGCCGAGCACCGCGGCTCACACGTGTGATCCCAGCGCTTTGGGAGGCCAAGGCAGGCGGATCACCTGAGGCCGGGAGTTTCAGACCAGCCTGAACAACATGGAGAAACCCCCATCTGTACTAAAAATACAAAATTAACCAGGCCTGGTGGCATATGCCTATAATTCCAGCTACTCAGGAGGCTGAAGCAGGAGAATTGCTTGAACCTGGGAGGTGGAGGTTGCCGTAAGCTGAGATCGCACTACTGCATTCCAGCCTGGGCAGTAAGAGCAAAACCCCGTGTCAAAGGAAAAAAAAATTGGTGGAAGTCCTGAAACTGGTTGGGCCAAAATTTTAAAAAAAGAAAAAAATGGGCCGGGTGCAGGGGCTCATGCCTGTAATCCCAGCACTATGGGAGGCCTAGACGGATCATGAGGTCAGAAGATCGAGACCATCCTGGCTAACAGGGTGAAACCCTGTCTCTACTAAAAATACAAAAAATTAGCTGGGCGTGGTGGCAGGTGCCTGTAGTCTCAGCTACTAGGGAGGCTGAGGCAGGAGAACTGCTTGAATCTGGGACGCGGAGCTTGCAGTGAGCCAAGATTGCGCCACTACACTCCAGCCTGGGCGACTGAGCGAGACTCTGTCTCAAAAACAAAGAAAAAAATGGGGGAAGGGCATATGTTGAGACCTGAGATAGCTTTTCCAGAAGGGGCAAAAAGCCAGTCTCCCACCCTGTCGTGGAACGTGCTCTAGGGTAGTCGGTAGAGTAGGGCTTGGGTAGTAAAACAACCAGGCTGATAGCAATAACAGAGACAAGGGCTTTCCCTGGCACACTTCCCGCTGCAGCTGTGTGGGGTCTCGCCTGGCTGGCCTAGGGTTCTGCGGGTCTCCAAAAGTGAGTTCTTCCTGGCGAGAATGCAAGCTCTGCGTCTGTGCAGGGCGAGCACCTGGTCACCAGCCTCTTGAACAGTTTGTCTTCGTAATGTCCCCGTTCAAAGCAAGAGCCAGTGCCTTGGGGTCTTCCTTGGTAAGCAGCTCCACATCCTGAGTAGATACACCAGCTCCAGGGCTGGCTTCTCTTGCAGTGTGGGAAGGGACTAGCTCCTCAGTGCAATTTCAGGGGAGTTTTTTTTTTTTTTTGGAGATGGAGTCTTGCTCTGTTGCCCAGGCTAGAGTGCAATGGCGTGATCTCGGCTCACTGCAACCTCCACCTCCCAGGTTCAAGCCATTCTTCTGCCTCACCCTCTCAGGTAACTAGGAGTATAGGCATACGCCACCATGCCTATTTTTTTTTTTGTATTTTTAGTAGAGATGGGGTTTCATAAGGCTGGTCTCAAACTCCTGACCTCAAGTGATCTGCCCGCCTTGGCCTCCCAAAGTGCTGGGATCACAGGCATGAGCCACTGCGCCCGGCCCAGAGGAGGTCTTTTTGTCAAAATCATGTCTACTGCCTCTGCCTCATCACCAAAGGCTGCTTTGGACTACTCTTGCCTTGACAAGAGGCTGCCCTCTTTCTCCAAAACCGGGAGGTACAGCTCCAGGAGCTGCCCGGACAGACCACTTCCTCTGTGAAGCACCTGCTGGAGCGCGTCCTGCGAACCTGGATGGTGGCACAGCCTTGGCTTAGTTCCTGAGCCAGATCTGAACACAGAATATGAATGAGCACGGGACAGTCTTCCTCTGATAGGAGGATGGCACTGGATGGAGCCTTGTTCAGCTGCCTGGCCACATTCTTCTGCTTCAACCATGCCCCGCTATAGTTCATCCACATCAAAGGATGCCTGGAAACCCAAGCCATATCTCCATCAGAATTGTCCTATGCCCTCGTCTCGTTATTGGTCAATGCCATACTCTTAGTATTGGAAGGCAGACACAGGAAGTAATCCTCATCACCGTGGTGCCAGCCTCTGCAGGACCAGGGTGATCAGTGGCAGGGACTTGTCAATGGCCAGGCTGTCACAGGCCTTGCTGCTCAGGTCCTCGAGGCGGGAGGTGACCACCTGTGCTGCTCACGGCTGCAGTTGCGGTGCAGCCGGCCCAGCTTTAGAGTCTGAATCTCGCCGGGTTCTCATGCCCTGGTGTCCCCAGTCACATCCATCCTTTTCAAGGTGGGACCTGACTGCCTCTGGGAAGCCGCACCCATTGTGGTTTGTTTGTTTGTTTAAATACAGTATTTCCAGCAGAGTGGACAGTACATAAGTGTTGTTCAGTACATATTTATTGAATCAATGAATGATACACAGAGGAGTTTGGTCTTGTCATTATCCAACCGGTCACCCACAGTGCGCTAAGAATGCTGTGAGGGTGTATCCAGTGCCACACTTTCTTGGGAGCCAGTCATAAAGAGGAATATATATATTTGCTCCTGAAAGCCCCACAATTTGATCACAAGCAAGTTAACAAATGCTTGCTGTTCATTGTGATGTATGATGACAGTTACCAGGTTGACCGTCATTTTGGGAGAGGGAAGAGGAAGGTGACCAGCTCACCCCGAAGGACCAGGGAGGCCCTTAGTGGTGATGGTCCAGGCAGCATGGGGGTGCTGGCACTGAGGGCGCGTGGAGGGAATGGCACAGCCCTGGACGGAGCATGGATTTGGGAACCGCTAGGATATCGAGTGCACAGTGGCTTCCAGAGGAGGCAGGGCTGGAGAGCAAGGTGGATTCAGATGTGGAGATGTTCTGTGAATGTGAGGAGGAGTCATTGAAATTGTTTAGCCAGGAGCAGCCATTTGGGGAATTTGAATTTTAGAAACAGCTTATTGCCAGCAATATGGATGAACTGAGTAGGAAACGGATGTTTTGCGAGCGCGAGTGGAGGAGGCTGCCGAGGGCAGTAGGGCTGACTATGACCAGGAAGACAAACAGGAGTGAGAGGCGTGGACATCGGCTGCCTGCCTGGCCCCTCGTGCCCACCCCCCAGGCAGAGTCTCAGCTCCCAGAAACTGGCGCTCCATGCCAGGGTCCTGTGCTGTGCAGAGAGTGGGGAAGGTTGGGCGAAGGCTGGAGACCTTGAGACGGGGCAGGCGGCCCAGAAAGGGGAGGCTCATGGAGCGGCTTTGCTCTTCCTCGTGTGGCCTGCACACGGAGGGCCCCTCGGAGGAGGGAAACCGAGGGCAAGGCTGTGAGCACCAGGCTGCCACTGGGGAGGACCAGAGCCACAGCAGCCCACGCACAGGGCGGCGTGTCATGAATGTTGTCTGAATCTTCAGAGACTCTTGACTGTGCAGAAATGTGGTGTTGGTATAAAATTGAATTTTTCACACTCGAAATTGTTACAGACCATAGCAGTGTAATGAGGTCATTTGGAAATGGATTTCCATCTGCACTGGACCCTAATTGTTCGGGAAAAATCCATTTAGCCCATTTTAAACTGCAGTGGAGGCTGCATGGAGAACTCCCCAGAATTGAAGCTGCACCCTGTGGCTGGATGCCAATGCTTAGAGCGGTCCTCTCCGAAATCTTTTCTTTCCCAGCCCAACATCTGTGCATTGCTCCTCACCTTCACTAAGACGCAAGTAGCAATTCTCGGGACATATTAAGTGATGCTAACTTAAGAACTCACAATATTAAAAATAAGGAGCAGAACTCTTTCCAGTGTTCTAATTTTAAAAAGCCAACTTCATTTAAAATCTCAAATAATGGAAAAGAAGCTGAAAACATTCAAATTGTTGTATCTGACATTTTCTCATCATCGCCTCTTGTTTTGTTGCTGATTTTAATTAATATAACTTTTTTTTTTTAGCAGTTTAGGTTCACAGAAAAATTGGGCAGAAAGTACAGGGAATTCTCTTATACTGCCTCACTCTGACCTCCATTTCCCCCCTTGTTAATATCTTGCATTGGTGTGGTATGTTTTATTATTGATTTTACAATTTCACATTAATATTAACTAAAGTCCATAGTTTACCTGTGGGTTCACTGTTGGTGTACGTTCTGTGGGTTTGGAAAATGTGTAATGACACGGATCTACCGTGACGGTATCCACAGAATAGTTTCACTGCCGTAAACATCCTCTGTGCTCTGCCTGCCCCCCCACACCCCGCCCCCACCTGCCCTCCAGCTGCCCTAACTCCTACCAACCACTGATCTTTATACTGTCTCCATAGTTCCACCTTTTCCAGAAGGTCATGCAGATGGAGTCACACAGTGGGTAGCCTTTTCAGGTTGACTTCTTTCACTTAGTAATAAGCATTTCATGTCCCCCATGTCTTTTCATGGCTTGATAGCTCATTTTTAAAAAGTGCTCAATAATATTGCATTGTCTGGATGCACCAGAGTTTATTTTTAAGTTCTGGGATATGTGTGCGGAACAGGCAGGTTTGTTACATAGGTGTACATGTGCCATGGTGGTTGCTGCACCTATCAACCCGTCATCTAGGTTTTAAGCCCCACATGCCTTAGGTATTTGTCCTAATGCTCTCCCTCCGCACCCACCAACAGGCCCCAGTGTGTGATGTTCCCCTTCCTGTGTCCATGCGTTCTCATTGTTCAACTCCCACTTATGAGTGAGAACATGCAATGTTTCGTTTTCTGTTCCTGTGTTAGTTTGCTGAGAATGGTTTCCAGCTTCATCCGTGTCCCTGCAAAGGACATGAACTCATTCTTTTTTATGGTTGCATAGTATTCCATGGCATATATGTGCCACATTTTCTTTATACAGTCTGTCAATGATGGGCATTTGGGTTGGTTCCAAGTCTTTGCTATTGTGGATAGTACTGCAATAAACATATGTATGTATGTATCTTTATAGCAGAATGATTTATAATCCTTTGTGTATATACCTGGTAATGTGATTGCTGGGTCAAATGCTATTTCTGGTTCTAGATCCTTGAGGAATTGCCACACTGTCTTCCAAAATGCTTGAACTAATTTACACTCCCATCAACAGTGTAAAAGCGTTCCTATTTCTCCACATCCTCTCCAGCATCTGTTGTTCCCTGATTTTTTAATAATCATCAGTCTAACTGGCATGAAATGGTATCTCATTGTGGTTTTGATTTGCATTTCTTTAATGACCAATGATGATGAGCTTTTTTTCATATGTTTGTTGGCTGCATAAATGTCTTCTTTTGGGAAGTGTCTGTTCATATACTTCGCCCACTTTTCGATGAGGTTTTTTTTTCCTTATAAATTTAAGTTCCTTGCAGATTCTAGATATTAGCCTTTTGTCAGATGGATAGATTGCAAAAATTTTCTGCCATTCTGTACGTTGCCTGTTCACTCTAATGATAGGTTCTTTTGCTGTGCAGAAGCTCTTTAGTTTAATTAGATCCCATTTGTCAATTTTGGCTTTTGTTGCCATTACTTTTGGTGTTTTATTCACAAAGTCTTTGCCCATGCCTATGTCCTGAATCGTATTGCCTAGGTTTTCTTCTCGGGTTTTTATGGTTTTAGGTTTTACATTTAAGTCTTTAATCCATCTTGAGTTAATTTTTGTATAAGGTGCAAGGAATGGTTCCAGTTTGTTTGCTGCATATGGCTAGCCAGTTTTCCCAGCACCATTTATTAAATAGGGAATCGTTTCCCCATTGCTTGTTTTTGTCAGGTTTGTTGAAGATCAGATGGTTGTAGATGTGGCATCACGATTCATTCACCCACAGAAAGACATCCTGGCTGCTTCCAGGTTTTGGCAATTATGAATGTAAACATTTCTATGCAGGTGTTTGTGTGGACACAAGTTTTTAACTCCTTTGTGTAGACACCAAGGAGCACAATTCCTGGGTTGAATGGAAAGTTCAACTAGAAATGTCTAAGCACTGTCCGTGCTCCAGGCCGGGTTGTGCCGATGTGAGAGCTGCTCTATCTAAAAGTCCTGGATCTGAATCCGTTTTTAGGCCTAGAGATGGGGGAGCTCAGGAGGGCAGTACGTCTCCAGATGAGACTGATATGTGGATAGACATTTCAACAGGTAAGACTACCCAGTTACCAACTTCAAGGAGTGGTAGTTCTCCTGGTTTAAGGTCTGCTGTGGGAATTAGATAGGGATCAAAATTTAGGTCTTCATACTCTGCATTTTAATAGCTTCAGTATAATATTTATGTTTATGAGACACTGCCAAACTGTCTTCCAAAGTGCCTGCACCATTTTGCATTCCCACCAGCAGCAAACGAGGGCACCTGTTACTCTGCATCCTTATTGGTGTTTGGAGTTGTCAGTGTTTTGAATAGCAGACATGCTCATAGGTGTGTGGTGGTGTCTCACTGTGGTTTTAATTTGCATTTCCTTGATGGCATGTGATGTCCTTTTATATGCCTTATTTGCCTTCTGGATATTTTCTTGATGAGGCGTCTCCTTAGGTCTTCATCAATTATTATTATTATTACTATTATTATTATTTTGAGATGGCGTTCTGTTCTGTCACCCAGGCTGGAGTGCAATGGCATGAACTTGGCCCACTGCAACCTCTCCCTCCCGGGTTCAAACGATTCTCCTGCCTCAGCCTCCTGAGTTGCTGGGACTACAGGTACCCGCCACCATGCCCGGCTAATTTTTTGTATTTTTAGTAGAGACAGGGTTTCACCATGCTGGCCAGGCTGGTCTCGAATTCCTGACCTCAGGTGATGTTCCCGCCTCACCCTCCCAAAGTGCTGGGATTACAGGCATGAGCGACCATGCCTCTTTGCCAATTTTTAAATTCGGTTATTTGTTTTCTTACTGTTGAGTTTTAAGAGCTGTTTGTATATTTTGGATGCCAGTCTTTTATTAGATAAATGTTTTGCAAATATTTTCTCCCAGTCTGTGGTTTGTCAATTCATTTTCTGAACACAGTCTTTCAAATGAATAGATGGGTTTTAAAATTTTAATGAATTCGAACTTATCAATCCTTTCGTTAATGGATCATGCCTTTGATGTTGTATCTAAAAGATCACCACCAAACTAGAGGTCACCTAGATGTTCTCCTATGTTATCTTCTGGAAGTTTTATAGCTTTGCATTTTACATTTAGGTCTATGATCTATTTTTTATTTTAAAATTTTCTATATTTTTACTTTTTATTTTTTTGAGACAGGGTCTTGCTTTGTCATCCATGCTGGAGTACAGTGGTGTGATCTTGGCTCACTGTAGCATCGACCTCCTGGGCTCAAGCGATCCTCCTGCTTCAGCCTCCCAAGTAGCTGGGACTATAGGTGCCGCCACCACACCTGGCTAATTGTATTTATTTTTTGTAGAGTCAGGGTGTCTCTATGTTGCCCAAGCTGGTCTCACATTCCTGGGCTCAAGTGATTCTCCCACCTCAAACTCCCAAAGTGCTGGGATTACAGGAGTGAACCACTGTGCCAGCCAGGCCATGATCCATTGTTAATAAGACTTTGTGAAAGGTCTAAAGTCTAAATCTAGATTCTTTTTTTTTGTCTGTGGCTGTCCAGCTGTTCTAGCACTATTTGTTTAAAAAACGATCTTTTCAGCACTGACTTGCATTTGTTCCTTTGTCAAAGATCAGTTGACTACATTCATGTGGGTCTGTTTCTGGGTTCTCAATTCTGTTTCATTGATCTGGTCTGTTATTTAGCAAATCACACACCATCCTGATTGCTGTGGTGTTAGAGTCAGACTCGAAGGTGGGAAGTGTCACTCCTCTGACTTTGTTTTCCTCCCTCCCTATTTTGTTGGCTGTTCTGGGTCTTTGCCTCTCCATATAAACTTTAGAATCCGTTTGTCAACAGTCACAAGGTAACTTGCTGGGATTTTTATTGCAGTTGCATTAAAGATGTTTTGAAATTTCAGATTCCAATTGTTAATGGCTTCTATGTAAGAAAGCAATTGATTTTTCATATTAACTTTTTATCCTGCAACCTAGCTGTAATTGCTTTTGGTTCCATGAGTGTTTTTTTGTTGTTGTTGTTTCTTTGGTATTTTCTACAGACAATTGTCATCTGTAAACAAAGACAGATTTTTAATCTCTTCCCAATGCGTGTGCCTCGTCTTTCCTTTCCTTGCTTTATTGTGTTAGCTGGGATCTTCAGTGTGATGATGAACAGTAGTGGTGAGAGGGATGTTCCTGCCCTGTTCCTGATCCTACTGGGGAGCCTTCCAGTTTCTCATAATTAAATAGGGTGCTTGTTGTAGACTTTTGCAGATGCAGATTTTTTTTTTTTTTTTTTTTTTTTTTTTTTTTGAGACGGAGTCTCGCTCTGTCACCCAGGCTGGAGTGCAGTGGCGCGATCTCAGCTTACTGCAAGCTCAGCCTCCCGGGTTCACGCCATTCTCCTGCCTCAGCCTCCCGAGTAGCTGGGACTACAGGCACTGGCCACCACGCCCGGCTAATTTTTTGTATTTTTAGTAGAGATGGGGTTTCACCATATTAGCCAGGATGGTCTCGATCTCCTGACTTCGTGATCCGCCCGCCTCAGCCTCCCAAAGTGCTGGGATTACAGGCGTGAGCCACCGCGCCCGGCTGATGTTCTTTATCAAGTTGAGAAAGTACCCTTTATTCCGAGTTTGCTGAGACTCTTCACTGTGAATGGTGTTGGGTTCTGCCAAATGCTTTTTCTGTATCTACTGATAAAATTTATGATTTTTTTCTTTAGCCTGTTGATGTGGTGATTACATTAATTGATTTTCAAATGTTTATAACAGTCTTGTGTACTGGGGATAAATCCCTCTTGGTTGTGGTATACAATTCTTTTTACATATCGTTGCGCTTGATTTGTTATTTTTGGGTTTTTCTTTTTTTGAGGATTTTGCATCTATGTTCCTGAGACATACTGATTTTAGAATTCCTTTCTTTTAATATCTTTGTTTGGCTTTGGTTTTAGGGGAATCCTGGCCTCAGAATGAGTTAGGAAGTAGTACCTCTGCTTCTATTTTCTAAAAGACATTATGGAGAATTGGTGTGATTCTTATAGTTACTGGTGAGTTTGGTGGAACTCAACAGTGACCTCATCTGGGATGGGTGCTTTCTGTTTGGGAAGAAGGTTATTTAATTTCTTTAATAAATACAGTCCTATTCAGAATACATATTTCCACTTAGGTGTGTTTTGTTGGATTGTATCTTCCTAGGAATTGGTTCATTTCGTCTACGTTATCAAGTTTATAGACATTAGTTGTTTATACAATTCATTTTTTTTTTGAAACAGGTTCTCTCTCAATCACCCAGGCTGGAATGCAGGGGTGCAATCGGGGTTCACTGCAGCCTTGACCTAGTAGCTGGGACTGCAGCTACTATATCAGGTGCATGCACCAGAATCAGGTGCTTGCTACTACACCAGGCTAATTTTTTTAGATTATACTTTAAGTTCTGGGGCACATGAGCAGAACGTGCAGTTTTGTTACATAGGTATACATGTGCCATAGTGGTTTCTGCATCCATCAACCCATCATCTACATTAGGTGTTTCTCCTAATGCTATCTCTCCTCTAGCCCCCACCCACCGACAGGCCCTGATGTGTGATGTTCCCCTCCCTGTGTCCATGTGTTCTCATTGTTCATCTCCCACTCATGAGTAAGAACATGAGGTGTTTGGTTTTCTGTTCTTGTGTTAGTTGCTGAGAATGATGGTGTCCAGCTTCATCCCTGTCCCTGCAAATGACATTAACTCATCCTTTTTTATGGTTGCATATTATTCCATGGTGTATATGTATCACATTTTCTTTATCCAGTCTATCATTTGTGGGCATTTTGGTTAGTTCCAAGTCTTCGTTATTGTGAATAGCGCCGCAATAAACATACGTGTGAATGCACCTTTATAGTAGAAAGATGTATAATCCTTTGTGTGTATACCCAGTAATGGGATTGCTGGGTCAAATGCTATTTCTGCTTCTAGATCCTTGAGGAATCGCTACAGTATCTTCCACAATGGTTGAACTAATTTATACTCCCACCAACAGTGTAAAAGCATTCCTATTTCTCCACATCATCTCTGACATCTGTTTCCTGCCTTTTTAATGATCACCGTTCTAACTGGCGTGAGATGGTACCTCATTGTGGTTTTGATTTGCATTTCTCTAGTGATCAGTGATGGTGAGCTTTTTTTCAATGTTTTTTGGCCGCATAAATGTCTTCTTTTGAGAAGTATCTGTTCCTATCTCCCACCTGTTGATGGAGTGGTTTGTTTTTTTCTTGTAAATTTGTTATAGTTCTTTGTAGATTCTGGATATTAGCCCTTTGTCATATGGATAGAATGCAAAAATTTTCTGCCATTCTGTAGGTTGCCTGTTCACTCTGATGATAGGTTCTTTTGCTGTGCAGAAGCTCTTTAGTTTAATTAGATCCCATTTGTTAATTTTGGCTTTACTTGCCCTTGCTTTTGGTGTTTTATTCACCAAAAATTTTTGCCCATGCCTATGTCCTGAGTGGTGTTGCCTAGGTTTTCTTCTAGGGTTTTTATGGTTTTAGGTTTTACATTTAAGTCGTTAATCCATCTTGAGTTAATTTTTGTATAAAGTGTAAGGAAGGGGTCCAGTTTCAGTTTTGTGCATATGACTAGGTAGTTTTCCTAGTACTATTTATTAATTAGAGAATCCTTTCCCCATTTCTTGTTTTTGTCAAGTTTGTCAAAGATCAGATGGTTTTAGATGTGTGGTGTTATTTCTGAGGGCTCTGTTCTGTTCCATTTGTCTATATCTGTTTTGGTACCAGTACCATGCTCTTTTGGTTACTGTAGCCTTGTAGTATAGTTTGAAGTCAGGTAGTGTGATGCCTCCAGCTTTGTTCTTTTTGCTTGTGATTGTCTTGGCTATGTGGGCTCCTTTTTGGTTCCATATGACATTTAAAGTAGTTTTTTCCAATTCTGTGAAGAAAGTCAATGGTAGCTTGATGGCCATAGCATTGAATCTGTAAATTACCTTGGGCAGTATGGCCATTTTCCCGATATTGATTCCTGCTATCCATGAGCATGGAATGTTGTTCCATTTATTTGTGTCCTCTCTCATTTTCTTGAGCAGTGGTTTGTAGTTCTTCTTGAAGAGGTCCTTCACATCCCTTGTAAGTTGGATTCCTAGGTATTTTATTCTCTTGGTAGCAATCGTGAGTGAGAGGTCACTCATGATTTGGCTGTCGTTTGTCTGTTATTGGTGTATAGGAATGCTTGTGATTTTTGAATATGGATTTTGTATCCTTAGACTTTGCTGAAGTTGCTTATCAGCTTAAGGAGATTTTGGGCTGAGACGATGGGGTTTTCTAAATATACAGTCATGTCATCTGCAAACAGAGACAATTTGACTTCCTCTTTTCCTAATTGAGTACCCTTTATTTCTTTCTCTTACGTGATTGCCCTGGTCAGAACTTCCAATACTATGTTGAATAGGAGTGGTTAGAGAAGGAAGCCTTATTTTGTGCTGGTTTTCTTTTTTTTTTTTTTTCTTTTTCTTTTTTTTTAAATTATACTTTAAGTTTTAGGGTATATGTGCACAACGTGCAGGTTTGTTACATATGTAAACATGTGCCATGTTGGTGTGCTGCACCCATTAACTCATCATTTAGCATTAGGTGTATCTCCTAATGCTATCCCTCCACCCTCCCCCAACCCCACAACAGGCCCCGGTGTGTGATGTTCCCCTTCCTGTTTCCATGTGTTCTCATTGTTCAATTCCCACCTATGCATGAGAACATGCAGTGTTTGTTTTTTTATCCTTGCAATAGTTTGCTCAGAATGATGGTTTCCAGCTTCATCCATGTCCCTACAAAGGACATGAAGTCATCATTTTTTATGGCTGCATAGTATTCCATGGTGTATATTTGCCACATTTTCTTAATCCAGTCTATCATTGTTGGACATTTGGGTTGGTTCCAAGTCTTTGCTATTGTGAATAGTGGCGCAATAAACATATGTGTGCATGTGTCTTTATAGCATCATGATTTATAATCCTTTGGGTATATACCCAGTAATGGGATGGCTGGGTCAAATGGTATTTCTAGTTCTAGATCCCTGAGGAATCACCACACTGACTTCCACAATGGTTGAACTAGTTTACAGTCCCACCAACAGTGTAAAAGTGTTCCTATTTCTCCACATCCTCTCCAGCACCTGTTGTCTCCTGACTTTTTAATGATCACCATTCTAACTGGTGTGAGATGGTATCTCACTGTGGTTTTGATTTGCATTTCTCTGATGGCCAGTGATGATGAGCATTTTTTCATGTGTCTTTTGGCTGCATAAATGTCTTCTTTTGAGAAGTGTCTGTTCATATCCTTTGCCCACTTTTTGATGGGGTTGTTTGTTTTTTTCTTGCAAATTTGTTGGAGTTCATTGTAGATTCTGGATATTAGCCCTTTGTCAGATGAGTAGATTGCAAAAATTTTCTCCCATTCTGTAGGTTGCCTGTTTACTCTGATGGTAGTTTCTTTTGCTGTTCAGAAGCTCTTTAGTTTAATTAGATCCCATTTGTCAATTATGGCTTTTGTTGCCATTGCTTTTGGTGTTTTAGACATGAAGTCCTTGCCCATGCCTATGTCCTGAATGGTAATGCCTAGGTTTTCTTCTAGGGTTTTTATGATTTTAGATCTAACATTTAAGTCTTTAGTCCGTCTTGAATTAATTTTTGTATAAGGTGTAAGGAAGGGATCCAGTTTCAGCTTTCTACATATGGCTAGCCAGTTTTCCCAGCACCATTTATTAAATAGGGAGTCCTTTCCCCATTGCTTGTTTTTGTCAGGTTTGTCAAAGATCAGATGGTTGTAGATATGTGGCATTATTTCTGAGGGCTCTGTTCTGTTCCATTGGTCTATATCTCTGTTTTGGTACCAGTACCATGCTGTTTTGGTTACTGTAGCCTTGTAGTATAGTTTGAAGTCAGGTAGCGTGATGCCTCCAGCTTTGTTCTTTTGGCTTAGGATTGACTTGGCAATGCGGGCTCTTTCTTGGTTCCATATGAACTTTAAAGTAGTTTTTTCCAATTCTGTGAAGAAAGTCATTGGTAGCTTGATGGGGATGGCATTGAATCTATAAATTACCTTGGGCAGTATGGCCATTTTCATGATATTGATTCTTCCTACCCATGAGCATGGAATGTTCTATGTGTTTGTATCCTCTTTTATTTCATTGAGTAGTGGTTTGTAGTTCTCCTTGAAGAGGTCTTTCACATCCCTTGTAGTTGTATTCCTAGGTATTTTATTCTCTTTGAAGCAAACGTGAATGGGAGTTCACTCATGATTTGGCTCTCTGTTTGTCTGTTATTGGTGTATAAGAATGCTTGTGATTTTTGCACATTGATTTCGTATCCTGAGACTTTGCTGAAGTTGCCTATCAGCTTAAGGAGATTTTGGGCTGAGACAATGGGGTTTTCTAGATATACAATCATGTCATCTGCAAACAAGGACAATTTGACTTCCTCTTTCCCTAATTGAATACCCTTTATTTCCTTCTCCTGCCTGATTGCCCTGGCCAGAACTTCCAACACTCTGTTGAATAGGAGTGGTGAGAGAGGGCATCCTTGTCTTGTGCCAGTTTTCAAAGGGAATGCTTCCAGTTTTTGTCCATTCACTATGATATTGGCTGTGGGTTTGTCATAGATAGCTCTTATTATTTTGAGATATGTCCCATCAATACCTAGTTTATTGAGAGCTTTTAGCACGAAGGGTTGTTGAATTTTGTCAAAGGCCTTTTCTGCATCTATTGAGATAATCATGTGGTTTTTGTCTTTGGCTCTGTTTAATATGCTGGATTACATTTATTGATTTGCGTATATTGAACCAGCCTTGCTTCCCAGGGATGAAGCCCACTTGATCATGGTGGATAAGCTTTTTGATGTGCTGCTGGATTCGGTTTGCCAGTATTTTATTGAGGATTTTTGCATCGATGTTGATCAGGGATATTGGTCTAAAATTCTCTTTTTTTGTTGTGTCTCTGCCAGGCTTTGGTATCAGGATGATGCTGGCCTCATAAAATGAGTTAGGGAGGATTCCCTCTTTTTCTATTGATTGGAATAATTTCAGAAAGATGGTACCAGCTCCTCTTTGTACTTTTGGTAGAGTTCGGCTGTGAATCCATGTGGTCCTGGACTTTTTTTAGTTGGTAGGCTATTAATTATTGCTTCAATTTCAGACCCTGTTATTGGTCTGTTCAAGGGTTCAACTTCTTCCTGGTTTAGTCTTGGGAGAGGGTATGTGTCGAGCAATTTATCCATTTCTTCTAGATTTTCTAGTTTATTTGCATAGAGGTGTTTATAGTATTCTCTGATGGTAGTTTGTATTTCTGTGGGATCGGTGGTGATATCCCGTTTATCATTTTTTATTGTGTCTATTTGATTCTTCTCTCTTTTCTTCTTTATTAGTCTTGCTAGTGGTCTATCAGTTTTGTTGATCTTTTCAAAAAAAACAGCTCCTGGATTCATTGATTTTTTTGAAGGGTTTTTTTGTGTCTCTATTTCCTTCAGTTCTGCTCTGATTTTAGTTATTTCTCGCCTTCTGCTAGCTTTTGAATGTGTTTTCTCTTGCTTCTCTAGTTCTTTTAATTGTGATGTTAGGGTGTCAATTTTAGATCTTTCCTGCTTTCTCTTGTGGGCATTTGGTGCTATAAATTTCCCTCTACACACTGTTTTGAATGTGTCCCAGAGATTCTGGTATGTTGTGTCTTTGCTCTCATTGGTTTCAAAGAACATCTTTATTTCTGCCTTCATTTCGTTATGTACTCAGTAGTCATTCAGGAGCAGGTTGTTCAGTTTCCATGTAGTTGAGCGGTTTTGAGTGAGTTTCTTAATCCTGAGTTCTAGTTTGATTGCACTGTGGTCTGAGAGACAGTTTGTTATAATTTCTGTTCTTTAACATTTGCTGAGGAGTTCTTTACTTCCAACTATGTGGTCAATTTTGGAATAGGTGTGGTGCTGAAAAGAATGTATATTCTGTTGATTTGGGGTGGAGAGTTCTGTAGATGCATCAACTAACAAGCAAAATAACCAGCTGGCATCATAATGACAGGATCAAATTCACACATAACAATATTAACCTTAAATGTAAATGGGCTAAATGCTCCAATTAAAAGACATAGACTGGCAAATTGGATAAAGAGTCAATACCCATCAGTGTGCTGTATTAAGGAAACCCATCTCATGTGCAGAGACACACATAGGCTCAAAATAAAGGGATGGAGGAAGATCTACCAAGAAAATGGAAAACAAAAAAAGGAAGGGGTTGCAATCCTAGTCCCTGATAAAACAGACTTTAAACCAACAAAAATCAAAAGAGACAAAGAAGGCCATTACATAATGGTAAAGGGATCAATTCAACAAGAAGAGCTAACTATCCTAAATATATATGCACCCAATACGGGAGCACCCAGATTCATAAAGGAAGTCCTTAGAGACCTACAAAGAGACTTAGACTCCCACACAATAATAATGGGAGACTTTAACACCCCACTGTCAACATTAGACAGATCAATGAGACAGAAAGTTCACAAGGATATCTAGGAATTGACCTCAGCTCTGCACTAAGTGGACCTAATAGACGTCTTGTGCTGGTTTTCAAAGGGAATGCTTACAGTTTTTGGTCATTCAGTATGATATTGGCTGTGGGTTTGTCATAAAAAGCTCTTATTATTTTGAAATACATTCCATCAATACCTAGTTTATTGAGAGTTTCTAGCATGAAGCGCTGTGGAATTTTGTTGAAGGCCTTTTCTGCATCTATTGAGCTGATCATGTGTTTTTTGTCATTGTTTCTGTTTGTGATGAATTACGTTTATTGATTTGCGTTTGTTGAACCAGCCTTGCATCCCAGGGATGAAGCCGACTTGATCGTAGTGGATTAGCTTTTTAATGTGCTACTGGATTAGGTTTCACAGTATTTTATTGATGATTTTTCTATCGATGTTTATCAGGGATATTGGTCTAAAATTCTCTTTTTTTGTTGTGTCTCTGCCAGGTTTTGGTATCAGGATGATGCTGGCCTCTTAAAATGAGTTAGGGAGGATTCCCTCTTTTTCTATTGTTTTGAATAGTTTCAGAAGGAATAGTACCTGCTCCTCTTTGTACCTCTGGTAGAATTCGGCTGTGAATCTTTCTGGTCCTCGACTTCTTTTGGTTGGAAGGCTATTAATTATTGCCTCAATTTCAGAACTTGTTATTGGTCTATTCAGGGATTTGACTTCTTCCTGGTTTAGACTTGGGAGAGTGTATGTGTCCCAGAATTTATCCATTTCTTGTAGATTTTCTAGTTTATTTGCATAGAGGTGTTTATAGTATTCTCTGATGTTAGTTTGTATTTCTGTGGTATCAGTGGTGATATCCCCTTTATCATTTTTTATTCTGTCTATTTGATTCTTTTCTCTTCTTTATTAGTCTTGCTAGCAGTCTATCTATTTTGTTGATCTTTTCAAAAAACCAGCTCCTGGATTCATTTTTTTGAAGGCGTTTTCGTGTCTCTATCTCTTTCAGTTCTGCTCTGATCTTAGTTATTTCTTGTCCCTGCTAGCTTTTGAATTTGTTTGCTCTTGCTTCTCTAGTTCTTTTAATTGTGATGTTAGGGTGTCAATTTTAGATCTTTGCTGCTTTCTCTTGTGGGCATTTAGTGCTACAAATTTCCCTCTAGGCAGGGCACAGTGTCTCACGCCTGTAATCCTGGTACTTTGGGAGGCCAAAGTGGGCAGATCACGAGTTCAGGAGATTGAGACCATCCTGGCTAACATGGTGAAACCCTGTCTCTACTAAAAATACAAAAAAATTAGCTGGGCATGGTGGTAGGCGCCTGTAGTCCCAGCTACTCGGGAAGCTGAGGCAGGAAAATGGCGTGAACTTGGGAGGCAGAACTTGCAGTGTGAGCTGGGATCGTACTGCTGAACTCCTGCATGGAGGCGACAGAGCAAGACTCTGCCTCAAAAAAAAAAAAAAAAAAAAAGTACCTCTAAACACTGCCTGAAATATGTCCCATAGATTCTGGTACGTTGTCTTTGTTCTCATTGGTTTCAAGGAACATCTTTATTTCTGCCTTAATTTTGTTATTTACCAAGTAGTCTTTCAGGAGCAGGTTGTCCAGTTTCCATGTAGTTGTGTGGTGCAGTTTTGAGTGAGTCCTTTTTTTTTTTTTTTTTTTTTTGAGATGGAGTTTCCCTCTTGTTGCCCAGGCTGGAGTGCAATGGCGTGATCTCAGCTCACTGCAACTTCTGCCTCCTGGGTTCCAGTGATTCTCCCACCTTGGCCTCCCGAGTAGCTGGGATTACAGGCATGTGCCACCATGTCCAGCTAAGTTTTTTTTTTTTTTTTTTTTATTATTATTATTAGAGATGGGGTTTCTCCACATTGGTCAGGCTTGTCTCGAACTCCCGACCTCAGGTGATCTGCCTGCCCCGGACCTCCCAAAGTGCTGGGATGACAGGCGTGAGCCACTGCGCTTGGCCATTGAGTGAGTTTCTTAATCCTGAGTTCTAATTTGATTGCATTGTGGTCAGAGAGGCCGTTTGTTATGACTTCCATCCTTTTGCATTTGCTGAGGAGTGTTTTACTTCCAATTATGTGGTTAATTTTAGAATAAGCATAATGAGATGCTGACAAGAATGTGTATTCTATTGATTTGGGGTGGAGAGTTCTGTAGATGTCTATTAGGTCTGCTTGGTCCAGATCTGAGTTCAGGTCCTGAATATCCTAGTTAATTTTCCGTCTCATTGATCTGTCTGATATTGACAGTGGAGTGTTAGACTCCCACACAATAATATGGGAGATTTTAAGTCTCTTTGTAGGTCTCTAAGAACTTGCTTTATGAATCTGCGTGCTCCTGTATTGGGTGCTTATATATTTAGGATAGTTAGCTCTTGGTGAATTGATCCCTTTACCATTATGTAATACCTTTCTTTGTCTCTTTTCATCTCTGTTGGTTTAAAGTCTGTTTTATCAGAGACTAGGATTGCAACCCCTGCCTTTTTTTGCTTTCCATTTTCTTCGTTAATATTCCTCCATCTGTTTATTTTGAGCCTATGTGTGTCTTTGCACATGAGATGGGTCTCCTGAATACAGCACACTGATGGGTCTTGACTCTTTATCCAATTTGCCAGTCTGTGTCTTTTAATTGGGGCATTCAGTCCATTTACGTTTAAGGTTAATATTGTTATGTGTGAATTTGATCCTGTCATTATGATGCTAGCTGGTTATTTTGCTCATTAGTTTATGCAGTTTCTTTGTAGTGTTGATGGTCTTTACAATTTTTTTTTTTTTTTTGAGATGGAGTCTTGCTCTGTTGCCCAGGCTGGAGTGCAGTGCTGCAGTCTCGGCTCACTGAAAGCTCCACCTCCTGGGTTCACGCCATTGTCCTGCCTGACCCTACCAAGAAGCTGGGACTACAGACGCCTGCCACCATGCCCGGTTAATTTTTTTGTATTTTTAGTAGAGATGGGGTTTCACTGTGTTAGCCAGGTTGGTCTCGATCTCCTGACCTCGTGTTCTGCCTGTCTCAGCCTTCCAAAGTGCTGGCATTACAGGTGTCAGCCACTGCACCTGGCCACAATTTGGTATGTTTCTGCAATGGCTGGTACTGGTGGTTCCTTTCCATGTTTAGTGCTTCCTTCAGGAGCTCTTGTAAGGCAGGCCTGGTGATGACAATATCTCTCAGCATTTGCTTGTCTGTAAAGGATTTTATTCATCCTTTGCTTATGAAACTTAGTTTGGCTGGATATGAAATTCTGGTTGAAAATTCTTTTCTTTAAGAATGTTGAACATTGGCCCCACTCTCTTCTGGCTTGTAGGGTTTCTGCAGAGAGATCCACTGTTAATCTGATGGGCTTCCCTTTGTGGGTAGTCTGACCTTTCTCTCTGGCTGCCCTTAAGATTTTTTTCCTTCATTTCAACCTTGGTGAATCTGATGTTAATGTGTCTTGGGGTTGCTCTTCTCCAGGAGTATCTTTGTCGTGTTCTCTGTATTTCCTGAATTTGAATGTTGGCCTGTCTTGCTAGTTTGGGGAAGTTCTCCTGGATAATATCCTGAAGAGTATTTCCCAACTTGGTTCCATTCTCCCCGTCACTTTCAGGTACACTAATCGAACTTAGATTTGGTCTTTTCACGTAGTCCCATATTTCCTGGAGGCTTTGTTTGTTCCTTTTCATTCTTTTTTCTGTGATCTTGTCTTCTCACTTTATTTCATTTCGTTGATCTTTAATCTCTGATATCCTCTCTTCCATTTGATCGATTCGGCTATTGATACTTGTATATGCTTCACGAAGTTCTCATGCTGTGGTCTTCAGCTTCATCAGGTCATTTATGTTCTTCTCCACACTGGTTATTCTAGTTAGCAATTCCTCTAACCTTTTTTCCAGGTTCATAGCTTCCTTGCTTTGGGTTAGAACATGCTCCTTTAGCTCAGAGGAGTTTGTTACCCACCTTCTGAAGCCTACTTCTGTCAATTCATCAAACTTATTCTCTGTCCAGTTTTGTTCCCTTGCTGGCGAGGAGTTGTGATCCTTTGGAGAAGAAGAGGCGTTATGGCTTTTGGAATTTTCAGCCTTTTTGCGCCAGTTTCTTCCATCTTCATGGATTTCTCTACCTTTGGTCTTTGATGCTGTTGACCTTCAGATGGGGTTCTGGTGTGGATGTCCTTTTTGTTGATGTTGATGCTATTGCTTTCTGTTTGTTAGTTTTCCTTCTAACCATCAGGCCCCTCTGCTGCAGGTCTGCTGGAGTTTGCTGGAGGTCCACTCCAGACCCTGTTTGCCTGAGTATCGCCAGCGGAGGCTGCAGAACAGCAAAGATTGCTGCCTGTTCCTTCCTTTGGAATCTTCATCCCAGAGGAGCACCCACCAGATGCCAGCCAGAGCTCTCCTGTATGAGGTGTCTGTTGTCCCCTACTGGGAGGTTTCTCCCAGTCAGGATACACCAGGGTCAGGGACCCAGTTGAGGAGGCAGTCTGACCCTTAGCAGAGACTTGAGTGCTGTGCTGGGAGATCTGCTGTTGTCTTCACAGCCGTCAGGCATGAGCGTTTAATTCTGCTGAAGCTGCACCCACAGCCGCCCCTTTCCCTGGGTGCTCTGTCCCAGTTAGATGGGGGTTTTATCTACAAGCCCCTGACTGGGGCTGCTGCCTGTTTTTCAGAGATGCCCTGCCCAGAGAGGCGGAGTCTAGAGAGGCAGTCTGGCCACAGTGGCCTTGCTGAGCTGCGGTGGGATTGCCCAGTTCGAACTTCCCAGAGGCTTTGTTTACACGGTGAGGGTAAAACTGCCTACTCAAGCCTCGCAGTGGTGGGCACCCCTGCCCGCACCAAGCTTGAGCATTTCAGGTTGATTTCAGGTTGATTTCTGTGCTGGCAGCAAGAATTTCAAGCCAGTGGATCTTAGCTTGCTGGGCTCCTTGGGGGTGGGACCCACCGAGCCAGACCACTTGGCTCCCTGGCTGCAGCCCCTTTTCCAGGAGAGTGAACGGTTAGCGGCTTATCAATTTTATTGATCTTTTCAAAGCGCTGGCTTTTGATTACATTATTTTTCTCTGTTTCCTATTTTCAATTGTATTGATTTCTGCTCTAATTTTTATTATTTCATTTCCTGTGCTTACTTTGGATTTGACTGCCTCCTAAGATGGATATCTAAATGATTGCTTTTGGATCATTCTTTTCTAATACAGGCATTGAATGCTATGCATTTCTTCCAGGCACTGCTTTTGCTGCATCTCACAAATTTACATATATTGTGTTGTTATTTTCATTTAGTTTAAATATTTTTAAATTTCTTTTGAGACTTCTTTGTAGATCCATGTGGTATTAGAAGTGCATTGCTTAATCTCCATGTGTTTGGGGATTTTCCAGCTATCTTTCTGTTACTGATTTCTAGTTTAACTCCGTTGTGGAATTGAGAGTTCATACATTGTATGACTCTATTCTTTTACATCTGTTAGCGTGTGTTTCATAGCCCAGAGTGTAGCTTGGGAAGCATGTGTGTTCTGCTGTAGTTGGATGAAGTAGGGTGTTAGGTGTTCATTACAGCTAGGTAACCAGTGGTGCTTCTTTTACATCTGTTAGCGTGTGTTTCATAGCCCAGAGTGTAGCTTGGGAAGCATGTGTGTTCTGCTGTAGTTGGATGAAGTAGGGTGTTAGGTGTTCATTATAGCTAGGTAACCAGTGGTGCTTCTTTTACATTTTTAAAGTGTGTTTCATAGCCCAGAGTGTAGCTTGGGAAGCATGTGTGTTCTGCTGCAGTTGGACGAAGTAGGGTGTTAGGTGTGCATTATAGCTAGGTAACCAGTGGTGCTTCTTTTACATCTGTTAAGGTGTGTTTCATAGCCCAGAGTGTAGCTTGGGAAGCCTGTGTGTTCTGCTGCAGTTGGACGAAGTAGGGTGTTAGGTGTGCATTATAGCTAGGTAACCAGTGGTGCTTCTTTTACATTTTTAAAGTGTGTTTCATAGCCCAGAGTGTAGCTTGGGAAGCATGTGTGTTCTGCTGTAGTTGGATGAAGTAGGGTGTTAGGTGTTCATTATAGCTAGGTAACCAGTGGTGCTTCTTTTACATTTTTAAAGTGTGTTTCATAGCCCAGAGTGTAGCTTGGGAAGCATGTGTGTTCTGCTGCAGTTGGACGAAGTAGGGTGTTAGGTGTGCATTATAGCTAGGTAACCAGTGGTGCTTCTTTTACATTTTTAAGGTGTGTTTCGTAGCCCAGAGTATAGCTTGGGAAGCATGTCTGTTCCACTGTAGTTGGATGAAGTAGGGTGTTAGGTGTTCATTATAGCTAGGTAACCAGTGGTGCTGTTGAGGTCAGCTATGTCCTTGCTGATTTTCTGCTGGCTGGATCTGTCAGTTACTGGTAGACAGGTGCTGAGCTCTCTAACCGCCACAGTGGATTTCTCTTTCTTTGTAGTTCTGCTGGTTTTCGTGTCACTTGACACTGTTTTTAGGCACAGGCACATTGAGCATTGTCATGCCTTTGTGGAGAACTGGCCTCTTTATCATTATGTCATGTCCTTCTGTGTCCTGGAGGAGATTTCTTGTCTGAAGGGTGCCCTGTCTGGTGTTAATGCAGTGACTGCAGCTTGCTTTGGATTAGTGTTAGCATGGTTTACACTGCTCTATGGTGTTACTTTTAATCAGTGTCTTTATATTTAAAGCGCTTTTCTGGTAACAGCATGCTGTTGGGTCTCTTTTTTAAAAAGTCCTGTGCTCAAGCGATCCTCTCACCTTGGCATCCCAAAGTGCTGGGATTACAGGTGCGAGCCACCATACCCGGCCTCCCTCTTTTTTAATACAAAAGTGCTATTGATGGAATGGTAAGGTGTAGGGGGGAGGGGAAGCTTTCTCTTATCCTATGATTGGGTCTCAGTCTTTCAGTGAGCCTGTGCCCTGAGGTCTGATCTTTGTAAATCCTTCCCAGTCCCCCCTCCCCACCCCTGCCTTAGGATGGCTACAGGGGGCTGGCATAGGGTCTTTCCCTTCCCCTAGATATGTCAGACTCTGGCAAACCCCAAGTCTGTCTGTTAGGCTTTGGTAGGATACTTTTACTTGAGGGCCTTTTTTTAAGGTGAACAGATGCTCTGGGCATATTTCAGAATGGCTACTTTCCCCCCACCTGCTGGAAACACAAGGGCATTTTTCTCTGATCTATACCCTGAGAACCTGGCGGGGGGGGCGGGGGGGTTCCTGGGGGTAAAGCTCACAAGGTGTTGGGGGCGTCCTAAGACTGGGCCCCCTAGAGTTTTCAGTCCTCAGGTTTGTCCACGTTGAGCTTCTGGGTTTGTCAGCCACGGGTCAGGCTTCCCCAGCCCAGCACAGGTCCCCACAGAGGTTTCCGTACCTGGGCATCTGCTCAGTGGGTTGTGAGTCTCTGTGTCAGCCTCTCTCATTCTGGGGGAGCTGTTTGCCCTGTGACATTCATTTTGATAAGAATCTACAAAGAATTGCTGCTTTTCAGCTTGTTCCACTTTTTCTTGTTGTGAGGACAGAATGCTGTATGAGAAACCAGAAATTCTCATGCACTGGTCTCTTGGTTTTTAATTAAAAGATTCTATAAATTATCTTGTTATAATTTAAAATGAATTCCATAGTAATTTATTTGTACTTTTACTGACTTCTGGGAAAATAATGTTTGACTACATGAGGATGAAGGTATAATGTTTCAAATGAAAGGCCAAGTAAATTAAAATATTTATTGAAGGGCTATGGGATTAAAAAAGAAAAATATATAAAGCTTTGTTTTCGCTGGTTATAAGTGTATCTTGAAAAGAAATACAGTAAAGGAAAGACATGAAAAACAATGCATGAAACACAGTCCTGATGTGTGCTGGGGGAGGGTTGTCCTCAAGAGCTGCACTGTGCCCCTGGGGAGACTGCAGAGCAATACTCAGAGTATCCAGGCAAGGAGTGCATAGAAAGAAGGTGCAGAGACATGAGGCAGCAGGATTTCTCACTGAGAGGGGTGAGACTAGCTGGTCACAGGCAAGAGAAAGAAGGGCAGGTGCAACTGATCAAGGAGGTGGAAGGCAGGGAGCAACTGCTCAGAGTGGTGACGTGTGGTCCACCTCCCCGGACTGGTCCACCTTCTCTAACTGGTCACTTCCCCAGACTGGTCTACCTCCTGGACTGGTCCACCTTCTCTAACTGGTCACTTCCCCAGACTGGTCTACCTCCTGGACTGGTCCACCTCCCGGGACTAGTCCACCTCCTCGGACTGGTCACCTCCCCGGACTGGTCCACCTTCTCCAACTGGTCACTTCCCCAGACTGGTCTACCTCCCGGACTGGTCCCCTCCCTGGACTGGTCGCCTCCCCGGACCGGTCCACCTCCTAGACCGGTCACCTCCCTGGATGGACTGGCTTGCACTGCTTCCTGGCAGTTGCAGGCTCACTGGGGACTGGAACCCACTTGTCCTCCTGGAGTTTCATCACCAAGTCCACATCCCACCCTGTCTCACTGGAGCCAGGATCCATAAGGTCCCGTGAGCTAATGTGCGTCTCTTTTCAATGCAACTCAAAAGAGCGTAAAACAACCGTTAACTAAATACTGTAGGATTTATTAATTAAAAACTCATTTAATCTATACCATTTTGCATACATATTAAATCTGTAACCTTAATAAATGTCCATTACTTCTTAAAATATAGAGAAATTGAGGATATTTCAACAATGAAATATATAATGGAGGAAGAGTGTAATTTTTTTTCGGATAAAACTCTTTGGTCTATATAATTTTTCTGAGATTAAAATAACACGAGAATTCACTCCAATAAAAAAGTAAACATTACTTTTCTCAAAAAATTTAATTGCCAAACTATTTACAGGAGGTGAACATCAGCGATACAGAAGTCAAATGGAGGCATCGTCACAGGACGGTTATGGCGGAAACGGTGCACAGTTTCTTACAGTCAGCTGAGAGTGAAAAAAAGTCATGGGAAAAAAGAACACAAATAAAGCAATCCTTAACTGCCTTAAAGGAATGACCAACATTCTGGTAAGTTATTAAGAGGAAGTAAGAAATTGTCGTGGTGATGAATAGCATATTGCACATTCAGATTAGGTATCCTGCATGCTACTAAATAGAATTTATCAAAAGAACCATAAAAGCGTGAGAAAGAGAATGACATAAAATAGTTGAATTCCAGTGAATGACTTTGTACAGATGCTGAATATTTGGCACTCTGCTCATCCTCACACTCGATATGATTTCATATTTATATTTATATATATATTTATATACTTCTTTAAAACTTTAAACAGCTAGTTTCCTGGTTCTAACATTCCTTGAATTTCTATAGGAGGCATTTAATATAGTCCTTAGGCCACACCTGGGTATTTTGGTCTGTAGTATGGAAGGTCGGGGGATGAGTTGTCTCTCTCTGCAGGGAGGACCTGTCCTGCCCGAGAGCGAAGTGGCTTACCGTTCGGAAGGAAGCGTTCGAAAGTAGCCTAGGTCTCACTGCTCGTAAGGGGAAGCCTTGTCGAGTTCAGCAAACGAGTTAAAAAGTGGAGTGAGGGGAACATTCGTGCTGAGCCCTTTGAAAGTGATATGATTGTATTATTTAAATGAGTGGGGCTGGGGCATGGTAGTGTTTTGGGGGTAAATCAGAGAATGCGTGAGTGGCTTCCATAAGGTACCACGATCAAGCTGGGAGCGTCCTTTGTCGTACTGGCAGACACAAGCCAACACACTCTCTAGGGAGACCATGGTCTACTTGAAAGAGATAAATTTGAACTTAAATTTGTCCAAGAAACCTGGTGTCAATCTTTTCATTCATTATCACCTCTCCTCCATTGAGTAGGTGAAAGCTTGGATGCCCAAGGCTTTCAGGTTCTGAATAAGCACCAATGAAAAGAGTTACATAAAATCTAAGAAAGTAGGGAGGTAAACCTCTGTCAACTTGTGTGTGTATATACAAAATCTGTTAAAAAGTAGTTTGATAGTAGGTAACGAACATTTCTTCTGCAAAGAAGTCATCTGTTAAGTGTTTACATTGAAACTTGAAATAATTTATTTTAACACTGGATAAAAACGCCAGGGTTAGGACAGCAATTCATAAAATTGTGGACATTTTTCAATGTGGCAAGGATGAAAGACGGCTGTTTCCCGGAGCTTTCCCACGGACCACCTCTGCCTTCTCTCAAGTGCGAAGTAGAGAAATTACAAACGCCTGGAATTAGAGGGGTGGGCTTCTCAAACCCTTGCGTGGTTTGAGTCAGTGTGTCTGATTTCGTTCCTGATGTTTCCCCACCCATGCGGTTTTCGGCTTCCAAATAATTTTTTTTCCTTCATCATTTTAATGTTTAGTTTATCTCCTCATTTCATCTAAGAGGCGATTGAGCTTAAGTAATGGTGAAAACGTGGCCTAATTCTGGTTGGTGCTGGGTTCTTGTTCTTGGAAGCATCTAGAAACAGTTGAAAGCCAGAAGCTAAGGAGAATGGCCCTTGTAGTTATTTCTGCATTTCCAAACCTTTCCAAAGACAGTCTCATGGCCTCTGCCTCTGGTGGTCCCTGATTATCTCTGAGATGTTTACGACCAGCCTGGATTCTGGCAGCGTGCCCTGCAGAGCTGGGAGGGCGGCATTCTAGAAGAGGCCAGGGACTAATCCTTAGCAGTAACGCACACTTTCACCACCTGTTCCCAGGAGCTCAAAGGACTTTAGAGCCAATATGTCATTAATCCTCACAGTGTGTCCTGGAGGAAGACAGGGACAGGAACTGTAATCCCCTTTCTAGAGGAAAAAAACTGAGACATAAACTTGAGATGAGTTGCCGGCTGAGGATGAATAAAAGCCAGGTTGCCTAACAGCCTAGAGATTCCTAGCAATATCTCCTTCATTTCCAGAACATTCTGCTGCCACCCTGCACTGGGGGACATTCAGCCGAATGTGTAGAAGCAAACCCTTTCCTTTAGCACTTTGTTTATGGCCAACAATGTATTGCAACTCCCAACTAATAGCGACAAGATGGGGCTCCTGCAGGGAAGCCATGGGCTCTGAGCTGACCTTATGTGGTGTGTGTCATGGCTGCCACATGGCCCTGAATGAAGCACACTGCATTGACCCAGCCCACAGAGTTACAGATCCTAATCAGAAAGGGGTCATCTTTTTCACCTCTTAAGCTCGTGGTTTTCTATTTTAAAGTTTTGGAAACTTGTATTCAACCCACGCCTACAGAGAAGTGTAAACAGACATGCAGATCAAAACAAGAGAACCCTGGAACATTCCCAGGGGCTGTCGTCTGAAAACTGCAGTTTTAAATTAGCCTGTTAAATTTGCAGCTAAAAAAAAAAATGAAGTTCAGGCTTGAGAAGAAGAGGGCTGGGAAATGAGCAGGCAGGAACCATGTGGAGTTTAGTTATTTCGGCCCGTGTTGGAGAAGCGTGTTTCTGTGCTCACAGGTGGGGCAATTTCAGTTTTCAGTGTGGGCCAAAGGCAGTATCCAGGGGCCCTCCCCGAACCAGCGCTGTTTTGGACAATGCTTTTATGTCCGTACCAGCGCACACCCTCTCACACATTTCCCGCTGCCTTTCCCAGGTTCGTGGGGGGCCCTGTCATCAAGGGTGGCCCTGCTGGTGACTGGGGTACCCAGGCTGACTCAGCCACGGCACGGGGGCCTCCTGTCCACTGAAACACCCCGGGGAACCTGCCAGAATTCCAAGCAAGGCTGACTGATGAAACGCAGCGGAAACAAAAGCTGCATCTCCCAGGAGGTCCCCTGGCCCCTTCATGCTCAGGACCACAGGAGGCTTGGCTTGATGGAATTGCTGCCGATAGAAAAGGCCTTCCTGAGGGAGACTTGGACCCACCTCCCCCACTCCCTACTCGCCCCTCGAAGGTTTGGCACAAACCAGACAACTGTCCCTAACAGAGCTCATTCCACAGTTACCACAGGCGCTGCAAACACAGGCCTGCAGTATCCCTTCACTTTCCTGTGAAATTCCATCCTGGACTCGGGTAGCGATGCTTACAAGGATCTAACAAAAACAGAGATGCGCGAATTTACGGATGCAGGGCCTTCTAATGAAAGGGGTGGAAACGGTGGCTGCTTAATATGGCATCGAAAAGGCAAAAATCAAGACAAGGACATATGCTCCAAGAGAAATAATCAGAACCTGTGCACATGTGTGCTCTGCCACTGTGTCTTCTAATAATAAACCTGGCCACTTTCATAAGAAGCAGCAGGGAAAAATTCCCTCTGCGTAGTAGGTCACTGAGTTTGTAGGCTTTTTTTTTTTCTTTTAAAACCAGATAACCTTACAGGTAATTATATTTTTATCTGACCATTTACCTTTCCATTAAGTGCTTGAAGTTTTTAGAATTGATTTGGAGTTGAAAACATCAACATTTCCTTTTAAACAAAACTGTAATTTTTTTGGTATCATAAACAGTTCAATTTTTTTATATACCATTCTAAGATGGTGATATAAATTTGCTGAGAAAACTATGGTAAAAATTGTCATCGATAACAACTAGTTTTACTTCAAACACAACAACACGTGAAGATGCGAGAGACGCATCACAAGGAAAGCACTCTAGGTGACAAGCAGCATTCTCCTTTCCCGGGCTAAACGCTAGGTCCTGTTTATCATACTTGTGTTTTATTAACCACAGCCTTCAACACAGCAGGATCAACCTGTCGGCTCTAAGGAGAGTGTCTGGGTTTCACCTGTCATTGGCTGTATCATTAGGGAATGTAGGTATGGGGTTATAGTGAACATCACACTCTCTAGGATGATGTTCCTAGAACAGCACAATAATTTTCAGCCGTGTTCTCCAATGGATGTTTACTCTTTTCTTGAAGTTATATTTTAAATATGACGAAATGGTCACACGTCGTGAGCTCCATGGCATGATCTGCTAGAAGTGGCTGAAATAAGCTAGCTCGAGTGACTAACACAAGTATCATAAACAGTTTTATTTTTCTTTACATGTACAATACAGAAACATGGCTTATCTTCTGCGTTTCATGGTAGAATGTCACCTGCATGAGAACTGAGTATATTGCACTTGATTATGTAACACGGACAGGTAACATTCCATCAGGTCTAGCAGCAGGTATCCGTTCTACCATTAAATCATCTTCTTTGGAACATGGCGGACCAGGCAGGGCGTGTGCACATTCACCACGTCGAGTCACCAACCCTGTGCAATGTAGTGGTAGGTTAATCTGCTCCCCTAGGGATGGTTTAGGCCAAGACTTTTGGGGATTGAAAAATAACAATGAGTCTACAAAACATAAGAAATCAACCTACATGCAGTGAACATTTTCTTTTAAGCAGGGATCATAGAATCTGGGATCTGAGACAAATAATTATTGACTACTTTAACAGTTTGCTTTTCTATGTTTTGTATAAGCTCAAGGAAATGAGTTAAACGTATCAGCTGCCAGTAGATAGACCAATGTGAGGAGGTGGCGGGCCTTTATCCACATTACATTTCCTTTCACTCAGAGTGTACACTGACTTTGCTTTTCTGTGGTTACTTCTAAACAGCAGAGTTCATCTGAAATCATACAGCATTTTTAAAGTCTAAAATGCCAATACTCGCAAATACATTTGTTTTAACATAATAAGAGTGGATATAGGAAGAAGCGTCATTACCGTACACTACTCAAGATTTAGGTATTCATTTAGGTAGAAAAATGCCTTGAACACTCTGGGGAAATAGGATTCATTTATAGAAGAATATTTCAGGGATTTTTTTTTTTTTGCATTTTTCAAGGAGATACATTCGTACTGATTTTTGCTTCCAAATATATTTTAAGGCTGTTTGGTAAAATATATACCAGACATGAGGCTCAATTTACAGGGTTTTGTTTTTACAGGGAATTCTTAACTACTCAGCTTTAAAAAAGTAAAACTTCGAAGCTAAACATGCTTTAATATCAGCTCTGCTCCCAGTGGTCCCATGCTCAGTGGGATGTGGGGAATGAGGCAGGGAGACACCGCAGCTCTGGAGGGCGCGCTGGGGGCCAACCGCACATCGAACGCCCTGCCAGCCACGGGCTGCAGAGGGGCTGGGGACATTGTAAAGTGCAAATCAAGGTGAAGAAACAAAGTGCTATGGGGTCATCGAAAGCTATTCTGCCTGTGGCTAAGTACATGGTACTCCTTAAGCCGGGAAGGAAGACCAGGTATTGGGGTGGAAACATCTTAAATCGCAGTCCGCTTTTACTTTGAGTAATAATGAGAACTCTGAAACTGGAACCCATGGAAAAATCGGACAGGCTTTTCCTTTGAAGACCGGTCTGAACTGTGAAACAGAAGTCGTGTCAGAACAATGGTTGCAGCAGCTAAATTTAATTATATACACAGAAAGCCTATTAATTAGAGTCGTTCCTATTTTCCTCTGGCACCGACCACAGAGTCATGAACACCAATTTTTTTTTTGAATGCTACAGCTGGAAATCACAATATGTGACCTCTTTTTCCCTTCATGTCTAACACAGGCAAGGAATATATTCTCGACTTTAGCAATACTGCATAGGACAAAAGAATTCTGGAAAAATACAAATGTAAACTACATTTCTTCTTTACCATTTAAACTGAGATATACTTACCACTCACATTCATATTTCTTAAACTTTTTACATCACAACTGTCATTTTAAACAAGCAAACTTTTGTTTTTCGTGTGTGTTTTTTTTTAAGGATACCCTGAAAAGTCAGCTGATAGAGCAATTTGAGAATATATATATATACATACATTAAAAAAATCACATGTAGCGTAAATGGTGAAACTTAAAGAAAATACTGGGTGTCGTATTTTAAGTTAGAAAGAAATAAAAAATACAATAACTGTTTACAAGTAAGGACATTGTTTTCCTTTTAAGCTCCCAGCCCTCCGTAAGACTCTCCTCTCTGCGCGTGACTTCCTGGTGGGAACACTCAGCTTATCTTTTGAATGTGTAGATGCTGCGCTGGGTATTTTCGTGGGTTCAGACTTGTCATCGCCTGGGATTCTGGAGAACTGTACGGCGGGGAGTGTGGTGGTTGGAGAGGTCGCTTTCCATCACAGGAAGCTTGACACAAGGAGCCTCGTGTTTTCTGTCCGAGACAGACAGGAGCAGGGGAGCGGAGCGGCCCGTGCTCAGGGAGTAAAAGCTCGGCTGTGCGAGGGGAATGGGCCTTTCTTTCCTGCGCTTCAGGTTGTAGCACCTTCCACTTGGGTGTCTAATGCCTCCAGGGAGTGGTGGGATGCACCCGTTTATAGTTACTTGTTATTCTTACCTCTAATTATCACACAATTTATAAAAATAGAAATAACAAAATGTAAGCTGGGTTCCAGCTCCAGAGGCATTTCTCGCCGTCCTCTGAGAACACGCAGGAGAAATCAGGTCTCGCCACACCTGTCCCTCAGAGCCAAGTGTGAGCCAGGCCACCCGTGAACAACAACAACAACAACAAAAGCAGAAGTCGTCCTCGCCGCGAGCTCCGTGGACTCTGAGGCCGCCGGCCGCGTCCCGCTGTGTCCGGGGCGCGGGGAGCGCGGGAGCGAGGACGTGTTCAGCGGGAGGAGGAGACAGAAACCACCAGGGCGGCGCCGCGCTGCACAAGCGTCCGGGAAAGCGGAAGCGACGAGGGGAAGGCGCCGGCCTCCGCCCTCAGAGCCGGGTCTGGGCCTCGGGGATGTAGATCTCGATGCTGTCCGCGCGCTCGGAGGCGGAATTCTGCCGGAAGGACGCCGCTCGCTTGGCGGCCATGAGGCGCCTCCGGGCTTCCTGGCGTTGTCTGTCGGGCAGGTCCAGGGATTTTTCTCTTGTGATGGGAAACTTCCCCTTGGGAGGCTTCTTTGGTATTGGAGGCGGGACCTTTCTTTCTTCCTGAAAAGCAGCGCAAGTCACCGTTGGCAGGTGCTCGGAGGAGGGTCCCAGCAGCTCGCGAGCTCAGCGGCCCTGGGGCCTGGCCTGACCCTTCCCGACCGCAGCCCCCAGGGCCGCATCCTTCACTCCCGTCCCCCGTCTGCCCTGGTCCCCGGCTCCCAGGCCACAGGCCTGCCTTCTGCACAGGATGGGATTTGTGGAAGCTCCCTCGCACTCTCCAAAGGGGGCAGAGGCGTCAGGGGCAGCGTGGACAAATCAGGAAAGAAATTCTGCAGATTCGCACCTTGCGTCTCTGCAGTCACTGCGCTAGTCTGACATTGTCGCCCGATTCCTGCGCTTCCCAAAGCCCTGTGTCATCTCCGAGCATCGCGAGGGTTTTGGACACCATCGCTGGACATCCCTATTCAACACTGCAGGGTTTTCTGCAGACTCTGGGATTCCAGTATGTTCATGAAAACCATCTTACGTGAATGGGTGTGCGGGGAAACACTGGCCCGATTCGCTAATTGGCCTAAAATCCCATTGACGTGGACGATATTTATAAAACCACTATTCACTTGCCTGCTTTGTAAAAAGACGCAAGTATTTCTCACCCTTAGCTCAGACTCTCAGATAAGTCACGCTAAAATACGTGTATGCCGTTTTAGATAAATCTCACAATTATGCAACACATGCAAAGGGTAATGCTTGCACTTGTTCCCACAAAAGGTCTGTGTCCCTAACTCTGCGATTCACATTGTTCCTAAAGACAGTGGGACCTGCCCCGTGATTCACATTGTTCCTAAAGACAGTGGGACCTGCCCCGTCTCCCCTTCTGGACAGAGCCATGACAGGGACTCTCCGTAGCCAGCTGTTTCCTTCCCAGGAAAGGGCACACGGCAGAAGGCGTCAGAACCACTTTCCTAAGCAGATATCTAGTTTTGGGGGAGAAAAACAGGAAAACTCCACTCATGTCTTTTTCTCTTCAGCCTCTGAAAAATTCCAAAGGGAGCCCAGAGGTGCTTGTAGATTGGGGGAAGACAGGCAGTTGTGTGAGTACGGAGGAGGCCTGTGGCAAGAAGCCTGCTTTGGTGTCTGGAACTTTGTTCCCTCGGCTTGTTTTACGTGACTAGGCCAGAAGCAATGACTCTTACCTGACTTCTTGGCATCCATCTAAAACAATGGGGGGGATCAGTTCATTGAAACCTTCAGCTACTTTAACAAGTAATTCCTTTTTTCAGCACATAACTGTCCTCATAGTTCAGGGGATGCCAAGAGAAAAGGAGAGAAGAGGATCTGTTTCCTCTTTTGGTGTCCCCTGAACTGTGAGCCTGTGAGATGTACACATCAGTATTTCCTGTGGGGGTTCCCCAATCAAAGGAGCTTCCAGGCCTGCGGGTGTGGCACTGTAGGAGTGTCCAGCAGATGCTGTGCAGGGCCCATCCCAGGGAATTTTTAAGACGCCGTGTTCAGGAGGGGCAGGGCCTCCTGTTCAGGCACGGAGCCTCTGCTGTGCTGGAGATCTGCTCGCTTTCTGGACTGGCGTGCTCTGCCCTCAGCGAGAAACCATTTCCATTTTCTTTCTTTTTTTTTTTGAGACAGAGTCTCACTCTGTTGCCTAGGCTGCAGTGCAGTGGCACGATCTTGGCTCACTACAAGCTCTGCCTTCCGGGTTCACTCCATTCTCCTGCCTCAGCCTCCTGAGTAGCTGGGACTACAGGCGCCCACCACCACGCCTGGCTAATTTTTTTTTTTTTTTTGTATTTTTAATAGAGACAGGGTTTCACCGTGTTAGCCAGTATGATCTTGATCTCCTGACCTCATGATCCACCTGCCTAGGCCTCCCGAAGTGCTGGGATTACAGGCGTGATCCACTGTGCCCGGCTAATTTTGTGTATTTTTAGTAGAGATGGGGTTTCACCGTGTTAGCCAGGATGGTCTTGATATCCTGACCTCGTGATCCACCCACCTTGGCCTCCCAAAGACGTTTCCATTTTGAGAATCATACTCTATGCGCAGCTTGGGTAGATGGGCTCACGTTTGCTCTCAATGACCAAAGAATGGAGACTAGACGGAACCATCGTGTGCACCTGGGCTAACGTCAGTACGTTCCGTTTGAACAGCCTTCTCCCTCAGGAGCATCACTGATCATCTCCTTCACCTCAGATCCAAACCGTGGCTTACACGGACCTGTCTAGTCCCACACATGGGTTATGTGGACCTGCCTAGTCCCATGCATGGCTTACGTGGACCTGTCCCATGCATGGCTTATGCAGACCTGCCTAGTCCCATGCATGGCTTACTGGGACCTGTCTAGTCCCATGCATGGCTTACGCAGACCTGCCTAGTCCCACACATGGCTTACATGGACCTGTCCCCTGCATGGCTTATGTGGACCTGCCTAGTCCCATGCATGGCTTACACAGACCTGTCCCAAACATGGCTTACTTGGACTTGTCTAGTCCCACACATGGCTTATGTGGACCTGTCCCATGCATGGCTTATGTGGACCTGCCTAGTCCCATGCATGGCTTACACTGACCTGTCCCACGCATGGCTTACTTGGACCTGTCTAGTCCCATGCATGGCTTACATGGACCTGTCCCACGCATGGCTTACTTGGACCTGTCTAGTCCCATGCAGGGCTTACATGGACCTGTCCCAAGCATGGCTTACTTGGACCTGTCTAGTCCCATGCATGGCTTACTTGGACCTGTCTAGTCCCATGCATGGCTTACATGGACCTGTCCCATGTGTGGCTTACGTGGACCTGCCTAGTCCCACGCATGGCTTACGTGGACCTGTCCCATGCATGGCTTACGTGGACCAGCCTACTCCCATGCATGGCTTACTTGGACCTGCCTAGTCCCACGCATGGCTTACGTGGACCTGTCCCATGCATGGCTTACGTGGACCTGCCTAGTCCCACACATGGCTTACATGGACCTGTCCCACACATGGTTTAAGTGGACCTGCCTAGTCCCATGCATGGCTTATGTGGACCTGTCCCACGCATGGCTTACGTGGACCCTGTGCACTCCCACCTCACTCCCCTGTCGTCTGGGATGAGAGGGAACCTGTGGATCCATTGCATCTGGCCTGGAACTCCACTAGTGGCCAGGGCACCTTCTGGGAGGAGCCGATGATGATGACCACTAGATCTGGCTCTCGTTCTCATGACCCAGGTGTGCATCCTTGCTGGATACCAAACACCACTTCCCCAAAGGATGCTGACTTGATTTTCTTTATCATTTTAATTAATAACATTTGTCTAGAAAAATCCATTTATGGTTCCTCAGGACGTCTTTAAAACGTGTGAGGAAATCTATGTCTTTGCTGCTAACTCAGAACTATCTACTAGTTCTTCTGATGACAGCATCACGGAAGAAGTGAAATGCCAGGGTTCAGATTTAATGGCAAATTTCAGCCTATTTTAAGGGTTGAGGCTGATGGATCTACAGGAAGATTAATTCATCAAACGGTTCAATAAGGTATAAAATGTCGCCTTGCCTATAGTGGCCATACTAGAAGGTATATTGAATAGGAGATAGTCCATAACCAGGCCTAAAACTTTCCCTGTGGGAAGCCAGCTTAATATTTACACAATGAGAACAAGTTTGATAAAGATAATTCATAGGTGAGACCCCTGTCAGGAATGAGGCTGCAGGTTTGCTTGTGATCTTGGCTAGTGTCTCTCTGAAAGGCTTATATAGAAGAGACAGAGCAGGGGAGACCCTATTATTTACCACCCATGCCCAAGGCTTCAATTCTGCCCCATTTTCGGCACATGCACACACACGCACACACATGTGCGTATACACATGTGCACACATACATAGAGGGAAATTTGCTCGTGTGTTGCCAGCAAAAGACTGAGAACCCCGTTGTCATGCTCTGTCTGCAGCAGGTCGTTAGTGCAGTGAGAAAGGGGGTTTGCTGGGAGCCGGCCCTGCATGGATGCCCTTACCTTTCTTTCCGGGGACTCCATCATCTTCCAGTCGTTGAGCCGCAGCCGCTGCAGCTCGTCGAACTTCATGCTGACGTCCTCAATGGAGAGCTGCAGCATGTCCCAGTAGCCGGCCAGGTCCTGCGACGTCGGCCTCGGCATGGCGCTGGGGTCCTGGGGACACACACAGGGTGTTCAGAGCCAGGAGAGTCTCCTGCGGGCACAGGGCTGGGGAGGCCACTCCTCCCCACGCATGCCTTTCAAGAGGCGGATTAGGGAGAAGCCTGGCTAATTCCAGCCTGAGGCAGATACTTGGGAAGGCCATGCTTCCATGACAGTTTACTTTAGCACACGTATTTGCTGTCGGCCTAAAAACACGTAGCACAGCTGTTCATTGTTCCACGTTGAAAATGCTGGGAATGGGGCAGATGGGAGAGTTTCTAAATGCTTCACAGCTCATAAAAGCAGTAGGAGCCTGTGTTTTTGGTCACCTGTGGATGATTCGGAAGGGACAGGGCTCCGTGAGCCTGCCGTGGTATTGGCCTGGTGGTGGCAGTGGGGAACCAGCTTGGAGCCCATTCTATACCTGCTTGTTCTCTGACGGCTCTTAGCTCTCGTTCTTACGGTGATGACACCTTACAAATGTAATGCGCCAAGGAACAGGATGCTCTCACCAACCGGCGCCCACACTTAGGAGGCACAGGTGACGCTGCTGGGCTGCAGCCCTGGGCCGAGTGGCCCAGAGACGTGCTTGGTTTCTCTGCCCAGTGCCTGACAGATACATGATTTCCACCAGCTGCCTACATTTATTTATGTTATTTTTGAGACAGGGTCTTTCTCTGTCGCCCAGGCTGGAGCACAGGTGTGATCATGGCTCACTGCAGCCTCTACCTCCTGGGCTGAAGGGATCCTGCCTGCTCAGCCTCCCAAGTAGCTGGGACCACAGGCATAGGTCACTACACCCAGCTAATTTCTTTAATTTTGTAGCAATGGGGTCTGGCTGTGTTGCCCAGGGTGGCCTCAAACTCCTGGGCTCAAGCAACCCTCTTGCCTCAGCTTCCCAAAGTGCTGGGATTACAGGGTGAGCCACCATGCCCGGCTTGCTCCCTACATTGAAATCTGAATGATTTTTCCAGGTGTGGCTCCCTTGATTCAGTGGGGATTTAAAAGAGTCAGAGGAGGTTCTGGTGGGTCAACATTCAACTGGATTTGCTTATGGTTTCAGCAGTGCACACTCAGCATGCTCAGTGAAGAGCATGCTGAACGGACAGCTCTGCGATTCCTCACCCAGAGCCAGGACCTGGGGCCCCCAGCTGCCCTCCGCGCGGCTGAGCCCGTTCTTCTCTGCAGCCACACGAGGGCAGCCTTGGCCACTCAAAGCCCCCCCAGGCACTTGAGGAGCTCCCCAGGAGGGCGGCCCTGGCCAGCGGCTGGGAGCCCGAACTCAGCCTCTGTGGGTGGGGATAACTAAAGTGCCTGGCAAGGAGGCCACGTTCTGCACCGAAGTCAGTCGAGGGATGCCAGGAGCTGCAGCCTCAGGGCAGGCCAGGCCAGGTGACAAGCAGCAGGGGAGGCTGCTCAGAGGCTGTAGGGGTGGTTCCTACCTGGCTTCCAGAAGTCTTCGCCAACCTAAGAACATCCCCTCTTTCTGTAGGGCTGGGCACAGCTGTGCCCCTCTTTCTGTAGTGCCGGGCATGGCTGTGCCCCCTCTTTCTGTAGGGCCGGGCAAGGCTGTGCCCCCTCTTTCTGTAGGGCCGGGCATGGGTGTGCCCTCTCTTTCTGTAGGGCCGGGCATGGCTGTGCCCCCTTTCTGTAGGGCCGGGCATGGCTGTGCCCCCTCTTTCTGTAGTGCCAGGCATGGCTGTGCCCCCTCTTTCTGTAGGGCCGGACATGGCTGTGCCCCCTCTTTCTGTAGGGCCGGGTAAGGCTGTGCCCCCTCTTTCTGTAGGGCCGGGTAAGGCTGTGCCCCCTCTTTCTGTAGGGCCGGGCATGGCTGTGCCCCCTCTTTCTGTAGGGCCGGGCATGGCTGTGCCCCCTTTCTGTAGGGCCGGGCATGACTGTGCCCCCTCTTTCTGTAGGGCCGGGCATGGCTGTGCCCCCTGTTTCTGTAGGGCCGGTCATGGCTGTGCCCCTCTTTCTGTAGGGCCGGGCACGGCTGTGCCTGATGGTGTGGGGGAAGCGGAGTGGCTTCTCCTCCCTCGCCCGCAGCTGGGTGGTCCTGGTCACATCTCCTGGGGGATGAAGGAGGAACATGGCCGGCCACTGTGGCAGAGGCTGCCTGAGAGCAGGCATCGCCTTCCCGTGCCCCCCTCCTCTCCTCGGCAACAACACACCCGTCCTTTGGGCTCACCCAGACCACATGCTGGGGCCGGACGGGCACAGCCTGGCAGGGTCAGGGTTTGGTTTTGTCTTCTGTTCTCTTTTGGTTGGGGAGGTGGTTGCATCTGAATCCACTGAACATTCAGAGACGATAAGGTGTTTATAATAAAAAAAAAAAGTCAATGGTTGTGCCATGCCATTCCCTTTCCCCCAGCAAACTCATGCAGGGCCTCTTTCCTTGTGAAATTGCCGTCTTTTAAATTCACACAGCTCTGTGGCTCTGGCATCCGGCGTCCATTGGATAGGAACTTCGGTGCCCCGTGTGGCCTGGGGCAGCTCTCTGTGCGCCGGCACCTGCTCAGGCACACACCCCCCGGGGTTGGATGGAGTTAAAATTCAGAGGCAGGCTCAGTGGGTGTGAATGAGACTAAGTTTCTGGGGACACCAAACTGCTGGTCCCACAAGCACAGCAATCAGGCCACACGCTTTGAGGTTAAGTTATTTCCGGTATTATGTGCCTTCTGGTTGTGTCACAAGCCACCTGCACATCCCAACCCTGAGAGGCTCTGCCCCCCGCGGTCCGTCCCGAAAGGATCCGCTCCCTGTGGTCAGTCCTCAATCTCGGGCTGGGGTTCTGACATTTTCTAGGGTCGCTCTTTGACTTAAAGCTTAGTTACCTACCAACAACTTCCAGCAGACAGCGGTGCTACTTTGCGCTGCGGACCATTTGGCTTTGATGAGCGAAGCATCTCTTAACAAGTCAACACTCCTCTCCTGCCAGGCCTGTCTCAGGCACCACCCCTCCCTGTACCACTCTTCCGCCCCAAACGTGTCAAAGTGTTTTTCTACTAATCCTGAATAGAAGTTGAAAGAAAAGGATGTAGCCAAGCCAGCTATTTTAAAACTCAAAAGGCATAACAAATATTAGGATGAACAATTTTAAGCCAAATATTAGCTATTTCTGGCAGAGCAGAAAGGAACATTTAGCAGGTCTGAATATGCACCTTGGGCTGTGTGTGGGAAGCTTTGGATGAGCATTCCTAAAGACAGTGCCTGCCTAGGCTCACGCGAGTCTGCATAATGTTACACAGAGTTCGTCAGTGGCCCGAATCAATTCCTTTAAAGGTAATAATCAAATAGATACTATGGAGGAGGCAAGAACGTTCACAGGTGACATGGCAGCTGAATGTTTACACAGTTACAGGCTTCTTTCGAGGCACTCAAAACCTTTCTATTTCCCTCTTTTAAATGATGATTATAACTTTGTCAGAGTGATGTGTTGGTGACTCTTTAAAATCGCCGTGAACTTCAGTGGGGTTGATTGGAAAGTATTAGAGAAGGCATACTTTTTAATGATCCTAAGGAAAAGACATGAGATGGCAACTCTGGCTTGCTTGTGCATCCTTTGATGTGTAAGAATATTCTTATGTCTCCTTGCACGTGAAAAAGCCAAGGAAAACATCATCAAAACACCTGGCACCATTGCTACGCGAGGCCTAGAGAAGACCTATTTGCATTTGACTGAAAATGTTTGGTCTGAAAAGAAATCGATGTATGTATTATAAAACAACTTATTAAGTAGCATAACTATTATTTACTATTTCTCAAAATAGTGAATACTTTAGTCAGCCAAGGAAAAGTATACATGTATGTGTGTAGGCAAATATATAGTATATATAAAATATATTAACATGTATATGTAAACTTAGATATACAGTATATATAGAATGTATATGTATGCATGTGTGTAGGCAAATGTATATATAAAATATATTACCATGTAAACTTACATGTTTTATATATACTGTATATTTGCCTACACACATACTATATATTTTATATATACTATATATTTGTATTTATAAAATATGTAGTTAATATGTTATATATTTGTTATATGTTAATGTTTAGCATGTATATATAAGGATACATAAGTAAAATTTCATATACATGTTAATATATATGTTTATATATAAATACACCTATATATGTTTATATATAGGTGTATATATAAACATATAGATGCATATGATTATAATCTTGTATACATCTAATATATATGAGATGTATATATGAGCTTTTCTGCTCTGCCAGAAATAGCAAATATATATTTATATATTAATATGTGTATATATATTTATATATAAGCATATGTAAGTATATATTAACATGTATATATGTAAGTATATGTAAATATATATGTGGTTTTTCTTTTTGTTTGCTTGTCAGGAATAACCAAGTTTAACGTCAACTGTATTAATCATCTAGTTCATGGTATATTCGTTTCACTACCGACTATAAAATACAAAGGCTAAATTATTTGCAAAATCTCTTCTTAATCTCTTCATTGTAGTTGTTTATGTATTTTTATTTCCAGGCACCTTAGATCATTTTCTTCATTTGTGACATTAGCCGTAATAGAAATTTCCCTTGTTTCTCCTCTTCTAAGATGCTCTGGTGGGGCATCCAGTTGCAAAGACACAGTGTCACGCCGCGCTGCTGCAGCCCGCCTCTTCCTGTCCTCCACTCCCCCTTGCAGCCTCCCTGCCTCGGTACTGCTTAAACCAGGGCCATATCCACCTCCCTGCCTCGGTACCGCGTTTAAACCAGGGCCGTATCCGCCTCCCTGCCTCGGTACCGCGTTTAAACCAGGGCCGTATCCGCCTCCCTGCCTCGGTACCGCGTTTAAACCAGGGCCGTATCCGCCTCCCTGGCTCGGTACCGCGTTTAAACCAGGGCCGTATCCGCCTCCCTGCCTCGGTACCGCGTTTAAACCAGGGCCGTATCCGCCTCCCTGCCTCGGTACCGCGTTTAAACCAGGGCCGTATCCGCCTCCCTGCCTCGGTACCGCGTTTAAACCAGGGCCGTATCCGCCTCCCTGCCTCGGTACCGCGTTTAAACCAGGGCCGTATCCGCCTCCCTGCCTCGGTACCGCGTTTAAACCAGGGCCGAATCGTCTCTTTCCCCAGGGCGGGAAGCCTCTTCTGTAGTAAGTGCACGTGATATTCCGCATACCGATGGGAACTCTTTGACAAGGAAGAAAACAATGAGAATCTGTGGAATGATGCCCATTAGCTTGGTTACAGGGAACAGGGGTTCACTGAGGATTCACTTACCATATTCTGTTGGCAAAGCCAATAAAACTGCTGGAATTTCTGGGACATGAGAAGCTGGGCACTCCCAACAGCACTCCTGATTTTACCGAGAACTGTTTAAAACAAAAACAAAAACAAAAAAACAACAACTTCAAAACTGGGTCAATTACACAAAAGCAGAAACATCACACCAAGGGAGCGAGTCCCACTGGAGATGAAAACTGACGACTTCATCGTGCTGAGCGTGTTCGCTGGTGACTCGTGCCTTAGTGTGCTCGTCCCCAACTCATGAAGGAAATCCAGAGATGACCAGATGTCACTGTGAGGACATTCTCCTTGGGTACTGGGAGAAACTTAGTTTAGAAAGGCGGCCTATACCTCAGGGAGTTTTCCTTATTTTGGCATCGAGATTATTTCAGTGCTGCTGTTTGGATGAGCTGGAAGACACAAGAACACGTGTGAGTGAAAGCAACATCGAGTTCTTCCTATTTTTATGGACTCTAACATGTTAGTGAACTCTTTTAGATGTGAATTCCTTCATTTTTAGAAAAAACACATCCATATGGGTTCTCTCATTGGATTCAATTAAATAATTTCTAATGAACTGTGGGCAGTTATCTCCTGGCAGTGCTGTGAGGTGTGTGTTACGTAGGAAGAGGCTGCGTGGACAGAGGCCTCACAGGAAGGTCGTAGCACGTAGGAAGATGTGGCTTCCCTCCTGGAGATGGTAAAAGGGTCACAAGTTACTGAATATGCTCACAGCTACTAAACTCACCAATCCATGTACCCAGTATATGTGTAATGCTAACGCTACATTTCTGAGTGTGCTATGAGTCAGCAGGCCACAGTTCAGTAGGAAGAATTAATCTACAAATGGTTCCTAATTGCAATGACTTTATTTGGTTAATCAAATACTAATTTTTTTTTTTTTTTTTTTTTTTTTTTTTTTTGAGATAGGGTCTCCCTTTATCGCCCAGGCTGGAGTGGAGTGGCGCAATCCTGGCTCACTGCAACCTCCACCTCCCAGGTTCAAGCAATTTTCTGGCCTCAGCCTCCCAAGTAGCTGGGATTACAGGTGCATGCCACCATGCCTGGCTAATTTTGTATTTTTAGTATAGATGGGGTTTTTCCATGTTGGTCAGGCTGGTCTCGAACTCCCGACCTCAGGTGATCCACCCATCTCAGCCTCCCAAAAAGCTGGGATTACAGGCGTGAGCCACCGTGCCTGGCTGTAAAGTTTTTTAAAAGAATATACTGTATGTGTGTGTGTTTATTTTGTTTTATTTATTTATTTTCTTGAGATGGAGTCTCGCTCTGTCACCTAGGCTGGACTGCAGTGGCGTCATCTTGGCTCACTGCAGCCTCCACCTCCTGAATTCAAGTGATTCTCCTGCCTCAGTCTCCCGAGTAGCTGGGATTACAGGTGCATGCCACCATGCCTGGCTAATTTTTGTATTTTTAGTAGAGACAGCGTTTCACCATGTTGGCCAGGCTGGTCTCGAACTCCTGACCTCCGGTGATCAGCCCGCCTTGGCCTCCCAAGGCCAAGGATTACAGGCGTGAGCCACCGCACCCGGCCCCACACCCTCTCTTGAGTCTGCTGTCAGCATGGTCACCACTTTGTAAACAGCTGCTTTGGTAGATCCTAGCTCACCATGATCCTCAAAACCACACAGGAATCGACTGGAACCCATTTCTTACCAGTGCACCCTGGGCCCACTGATCTCTGCTGGGTATTATTTGCCAGAGCAACAATTCACCGTTCTTCCATAGAGCGTGCCCAGTACACGTATGTGGCTTTTCTGTGCCTGGGTCAGCACGTGGGGCCAGGGCTGCCCACCAGGCAGGGGGCAGATGATCTACGCATCTCATCACCTCTCAGTTCACACCACGTCTCCCCATCACTGGCTTTCAGCGTGGGCCCTTCAAGGTGGGGCCGTCTTTCCTGAGCTGGCTCACGGGGCGTCATCTGCGTCTTCTGGCCAAGCTGATGATTCCACCTGCTCTTTTTGCTCTCCCTGGAGAGTCTCTGCAGAGCACAAATCACTAACCTACACGACACACCCTAAAACTGAAAGTGCTGCGGTTTAACTAGCCCAGCCCTTTCTCCTGCTTCCGTTGGAAGGAAGCCATGGGAAGCTGACTCTCCAAGGCTGGTGGAAAATGGTGTAGGAAAAGGGGGCATTTATCCTGGAGATTTGCCCCCTTGAACGCAGAGGCGAGAGATCCATCCCCACTTAATCTGTGGCTTTACGTACTTCACAAGGGAATACCGATGTGCTGGAGGTTTTGCCTAGACACATGCAGGTGCTTGGAGCTCAAGGGGCCTTGCAGACCCACCTGTGCCTCACCTGGGGATCTTGTGCCGGGCATGGCCTGACTCACGGGGTCCGGGTGGGGCCAGAAAGTCCGTTTCTTTCTACGTTTAGGAGATGCCCTTGCTGGCTCCCAGGGCACACCTGACTGTGGAAGCCTAGACAGCCTTTCCAGAAGTCGAAACCGAGGTCCAGGGAAGTGAACCCAATCCTCGTGTAGGTTCTTCCACAACAGCTCTTCCCCCAAACATTCCTTAACAGTCAGTCCTAGAGACAGTTACTGGTGAGATTCATTGCACACGATCCAGAAACTGGCATCCTGCTGCCCAAGCCAGGGTGCTGCAGTGTCTCCTCCTTAGCCCGACTTTCGGGAAAAAGAACCGCATTTCATGGGCACAAAGGGTCTTAATGTTCATGTAATAAAATGCTATGAGCCAGTTGAAAATGACGTTGCAGAGATAACCTTGATTTGAAAGGGCTTATGGCACGCCGTGACCCAGAAGTCAACTACACAGCAGTGTGTGCGGTGCCTCCCTCATTTTTTAGAACATGAAGGTCTGGCAATCTGTACCATGTGTTCTTCAAAGTGATTTTCTCCTGGGTAGGATAATGGACTTAAAAACCTATTTTTCTGTCTTGTCTTATTTTTCTAAAATGAAGATTGTTTTGCTCCCCAAAGTTTTATTATGAAACCTTTCACACATGCAGAAAATGGGAAAGAAGAGTATAACCCACAGCTCCCTCCCCATTCCGTGGAGACGGCAGTAAGTGTTGTCCTGTGTTCTCTCTTCCTGAGGCCTTTACCTGCGACCACCTTGTAGACCCAGGGCCACTGTCACCCCCACGAAGGTGACAATAGTTCCTGAATATCACCTAATTCTCCATTGCTTCTAGGGTATGAAAAAGATGAAAAAAGCATAACTTTTAATAAAAGCAAGTAACTCGGATAACACTTTGGCATTGTTTCTGTCTTGAAAAGAAGGATGGAAGGTTGTCTGTCGGGCATCTTAACACCGGGGCCTTGTGCCGTTCACAAATCCACTTCAAGACAGGCTGCTCTTCCTTGGATCTGATTTACCAGCCAGCCTGGGAACAGAGAAGGGAGGGGAGGACTGGAGAAGGAAGCCAGGAGCCCCTGGCCACATGGCACGGGATGGAGCTGGCAGGGCTCTGAGTTGGGGTGAGTCTGGGGGTGAGGGGAGTGGAGGGGCCGCTGCAGTCGGTCGAGAAGCAGCTGGAGGCGGTGGGGTTTGAGTGGTTTCTTGACAGGGGTGACAGTGAAAGCTCCTCATCCTTCCTGTGCATTCCACTGCCCCCAAAATGAACGTGTTCTGCAGCCCTGGACTCGCTGATGACGAGGGGAGGAATCATCTTTGCTTTTGAAATGTTGAATTTCTATTTCTTTTGTATTCTAAAACCTGGGTAATTAATGAAGATATTTAAAGGGACTATTTTAAGTAAGTCGTTGCTGCAGAAATATATAGAAGTGGATGAATAAATGAATTTATTTTGCCAACTCTATGCTTCCTCAAACTGTAATTTAAAAGTCAATCAGTTTCTTAAAATTTGAAGTTTAATTCCCAATTTTCACATTCCCCTTAAAATGGAATTCAACTGAACTGTTAATACAAAGTACTTCAATTTATACTCTTTAACACAACATGAACACATGGGCAAAATCTTGGTATCGATTTAATGTAGTGGAGAGTTATTATAAAGGGAATAAATTGAATATTGCTAGGGAGAGATAATGAATGTCAAAAAGTGTAGCTAATGACATGCCTGCTAATGGTAGGAGAATTTTGCTGTTCAGTGAGTGAGAATGATCCTATCTGATGCCTATAATGTAAGTAGCTTCCTATAATTGCAAAGAAGTTGAAGTGAAAATTCAATTTATTCTCTCCCAGTATATGTCTCTAATTTTGCCATAGTTTAGACACTTGCAGGAGCTATACTAAGGACTAATTCTCATCAGAATGCAAATTCACAAAGAACCTGCTAGAACCCTTGCCTTCCATGTACAAAGAAATTTGATTAACACACTTGGCTCTTTTATTTTTTCTATAATTCCAATTCTATCTAAATTTGGTATGAAGTAACATAATTCACACTATTCTGGTGTTCTAATATTTGAGATGGATTTTTATAAAATTTGCAGAGAGTCGGAAATGATCATTTGAGTATTTGTAACCCCTGTGATCCCCTGAGATTCCCTTGTAACTAATTTTGTAGTGGGGTCTGCCTAAGCTATGGCTCCCAGAAATCTCCTTTCAAGATCTCGAGCCTCATGATTTTCATGTTTTTGAGCACGTTTCTGTGTGTTTTTAATGGATTTATCACAGTTGTACATATTATTGGGGGCACATATGATATTTGAACAGATGTCTACAGTGTGCTAAGATCAAATCAGGATGACTGGGACGTGCATCACCTCAAACATTTATGTGTGTGTGTTGGGAACATTACAATTCTTCTAGCTAGTTTGAAATACATGATACATTATTAACCATGTTTTCTTACTGTACTATTGTATACTAGAACTTATTTCTTCCACCTAACTGTATTTTTGTACCCATTAGTATGAATCAACTTCTCTTCCTCCTCTCTCCTGTTCCGGTAACCACCAATCTACTCTCCACCTTGATGAGCTCTGCTTTTTTTTTTGGATGGGGTCTCCCTCTTGTTGCCCAGGCTGGAGTGCAGTGGCGTGATCTTGGTTCACTGCAACCTCTGCCTCCCAGGTTCAAGCGATTCTCCTGTCTCAGCCTCCTGAGTAGCTGGGATTGGGATTACAGGCGTGCGCCACCATGCCTGGCTAACTTTTGTATTTTTAGTTGAGACAGGGTTTCACCATGTTGGCCAGGCTGGTCTCAAACTCCTGACCTCAGGTGATCTGCCTGCCTTATCCTCCCAAAGTGCTGGGATTACAGGCATGAGCCACTGCGCCCGCCTGAGCTCTACATCAGAGTGAGATTACGCAGTGTTTATCTTTCTGTGCCTGGCTTATCTCACTTAACATAATAACCTCCAATTCCATCCATGTTGCTCCAAATGACAAGACTTAATTCCTTTTTTTATGGCTGAATAATATTCCACTGTGAATATTATTCACACACATTACTTTCTTACCACATTTTCTTTATCCATTTTTCTACTGATGGGAACCTAGGTCTCTTCCATATCTTGGCTAACATGAATAATGCTGCAATAAACATGTGGGTGCAGAAATCCCTTTGACATATGAATTTCCTTTTGTTTGGGTCTATGCCCAGCAGGACAATGACTGGATCACATGGTGGTTCTATTTCTAGTTTTTGAGAAATCTCCATACTGCTTTCCATAGTGGCTACTTCATATTCCAACCAGCAGTGTGCAAGCTTTCCCCTTACTCCGCACCTGTGACAGCATTTGCTGGTTTTTTGTCTTTGTGATAATAGCCATTCTAGCTGGGATGAGGTGACATCTCATCGTGGTTTTGATTTGCATTTTCCTGATGGTTAGTGGTGGTGAATCTTTTGTCACATACCTGTTGGCCCGTTGTATGTCTTCTTTTGAGAAATGCCTATTCAGGTCTTTTGCCCATTTTTGAATTTTTTTTTTTTTCTGTTATTTGAGCTCCTTGTATATTCTGGTTCTTAGTCCCTTGTCAGATGGGCAGTTTGCAGACATTTTCTCCCATTCTGTGAGTTGTCTTTTCACTCTGCTGTTTCCTTTTCCTGTGCTGACAAGCATCCATGTCTTTTTATTGTCTGATTTCCCCATGACCATTTAGTTGGGTTGTATGGCAACATCTTCATAGGTGCTTAGCAGAGGCCTGGTCAGTGGGTTGATTCTCTTAGTCTGATCCACATAATGGACACAGTCTATGACCTGCATCTCCCAGGAGGTCTGGAAGCAGTGGACGTTCCATTAAGCTGTGTGATACATTGACCCCTAAGGCTGGTAGCTGCCAATATGTGCACAGGCATCTGCTGTGCTCAGAACGTCATCAGTATTTCTGATTCCTCAATCTTCTCTGTTGGTCTGATACCACCTGGGCCAACCATGGACACAGGCACAGTTCTCTGTGGCCATGTCATCCTCGTGCCCTGCATGGAGCATGTGTTCTGCTCATTCTCAGAGTCTCTCTGGGCTCTTTGTCAGCTGCTGACCGCTGTGTGAGTGCCAACTGCCGGGGTGCTTCTCCCCATCCAGACCATTTTGTCTCAGCATGGAAGATGGCCCAGGAGATACAAAGTCACACATCTGACCCCGGCTCTTGTGTTAATAGGACTTGTGGTCATTCTGGCTGTAAAAGGAGAACTTAGTGAGCAAATCCCTATGTTCCTCCCAGCATTAGTGTTTGCCTTGAATGTGCATCTGACCCGGTGAACATGTAGGTTATTCGTTACTTCGGGAGGAGTCATTTGGGGCAAGGAAGTTTCCGATACCGTTTGAAAGATCCTGTGTGTACATGTGCTCCCTTGGTGAGTTCTTGATGAGAGTTGCATCTCAATGGAATTATTCAATAAAGTCTTAGCTTGGGAAGGATTTCTTTTGTTTTAGAAAATATGCACATTTTTGATTTTTCCTTTATGTATTTACCCATTTGGTTTGACATAATTAATACAAAAATCTTAAAACATTACTAATGATTTAATCTCTTGAAAGTACTTTTATTAACAATAGGCAGCCTGCATTAATGTGACTTTATGCAGACCAGCATTTCTTTGGGTTCACTATAGATTTTATTAACCATAGAAGACTGACTGAATCTAGATTCATTCAATCAGTTCGGGGAACTGTGTTATGAAATTATATTTTGGGCAAAAATTACTTCATATAATGGAAATTTCAATATTCAGAGATCAGAGTTTTAGTCTCATAAGACATTTAATTTAATCTTTATTTTAAAAAGTACCATAACCAATAACCCTGTATCTGCTCCTAAAATTAGGACTGGAAATTAAGGTTATCATCTTACCTTTTAAACATTTAGGGAAGTATCTGAACTTGATGAATATTGTTCTAGTTTTATGGACAAAACACACAGGTGAGGGGCGTAAAAAGTGTTTTGACATCTGTCCACAAAAAGATGAAGGTATCTGGGCAATTTAAGAAATTAAGAAAATCACAAAAAGTATCAAGTTCATCCATTCTCTGTTCCTTGTGTTCAAAGTTTATAGCAATGCAGTTAGTTACATTTTCTGATTAAAAATTAGCCAGGTGTAGGGGCATTCAGCTGTAATCCCAGCTACTCAGGAGGCTGAAGCAGGAGCATTGCTTGAACTTGGGAGGCAGAGGTTGCAGTGAGCTGAGATCGCGCCACTGCGCTCCAGCCTGGGTGTCAGAGTGAGACTTCGTCTTAAAAAAAAAAGTATATATATATATATATATATATATATATATATATATACACACATATATATATACACATATATACACACATATATATATACACATATATATGTGTATACACACACACACACACACACACACATATATATATATATATATATATATATATATAGTGGAGCAAAGACAAGGAAAATCAGGATCATTTCAGTGGATGTCTATAGAATGGGAAGTGTTGAAGCTACTCCCAGCCTCCATAACTGAGGATGGCGAGGTGATTCTCTGGGAGTCTAGATGTTCTGCTTTTATAAAGGTGTGAGCAGGAGTGTGGCATCCTGTTCGCTAAGACAGCCCATCCTCCTGCTTCCCTCTCTTCCTCCCCATTCCTATTGTCTGGCACTCTGTGCCAGGCGATGTGTGAGGCACTGTCTGTGGATGATAAATGTCAAATGTGGCCACTTCATTGAAGGAGCCTAAAATCTCAAATGACAGCAGAGGTGCGGAGCTTTAGGCAAGTTCCATCATCCCCCAGGGTATGGGGAATGCCCCGGCCACAGAAGGCTCTGTGAGGTCAGGTAGCACAGACCCTCCCCACAGGCAGGATGAAGGGCAGTGCTGACATGAAGATCTTCCTCCAGAGGAAGGAGACAAAGGGGCCTCTGTTCCCCAGTTCTCTGCCTCTGCGTGGACTCTTGAATCTCCTTTTCAGTCACCACCATCCACCACCTTGACCAAATCCAACCGCGTGTCAAGGCCCAGCACAGTGCCACCTTCTCCAGGAAGCCTTCTGAGAATCTTCCCAGGTGAAAGCATTGCTGAGACCTCTGAGTTTTTAAGTACTTTATCTGTACTTCTCTTATGACACTCAACAGTTTCCACTTCCTGTACCTGGTCTTCTCCCACTGTTAGGTAATCAGTTAGGTCCTTTACCATGTCTTACTCATTGTTGCATCATTTTTGTCTATCGGAGAGTGGCTTGCTTCGTCGTAAGTAATCAATAAATATCTATGGAATGTAGACATCACTGAGAGAGTCCAGAGGAGGATCCTGATGGCTCAAAAAAGGTAAAAAACAAGACAAAACAAAACAAAAATCCCACCACGAAACCAAACATATGTTTAGGGGAATATAATTTGGAGTCAGCAAAAATTAATTTTCCACCCTACCTTACTGAAGAAAAATAGTTTTTCAGATGCCTAATAATAAGGTAAGTGACACTGAAATACTAGATATCCTGGCTGGGCATGGTGGTTCATACCTGTAATCCTAGCACTTTGCAAGGGCAAGGGGGGCAGATCACTTGAGGCCAGGAGTTCACGATTATCCTGGCCAACATGGTGAAACTCCATCTCTACTAAAAATACAAAATTAGCCAGGTGCTGTGGTGCGTGTCTGTAGTCCCAGCTACTTGGGAGGCTGAGGCAGGAGAATCACTTGAACTCGGGAGGCTGAGGTTGCAGTGAGCTGAGATCGTGCCATTGCACTCCAGCCTGGGAGAAAGAGCAAGACTCCCTCTCAAAAAAAAAAAATACTATATATCCTAAGATTTTGGAATCTTACTGTTGATTTGGGTCCCTATACGTCATCAAATTCAATTTTGTATGTAGTATTTTTATGGCATAATTTATAGAATATTCTGGAATGCCTCCAGTGACAGAAAACCAGGACTTACCATGACAGGGCCTCAGCACTAAAGCCCTTTGTAAGGACTTTCATTCTTGGTTTGAGAAATAATTTGCCTCCTTACAGCTCCTGCCACTTATTTTCCAATGGCTAACGCGGGAGAACCTTGGCCTCTGTCTTCGCAGCTGAGGGACTCTGTGGACCACACGTGGGTCACAGTCGTGGAGGACCAGAATGAGGTGAAGGGTCAGGGATGGGACACACCCTTGTCTGAAACAGCAGGTGAAAGGATGGGATGCACATCCAGCATGGAAGCAGGCAGTGGAGGGGGTGCTTCCCATAAGGGAACTTCTTGACTTGATGCCTTTGGACCGTGGGTGGAAAGGCAGAGCCTTCAATGTCAGAGGGCCGTGACTCCCAGTCCCAGATCACTGCTGGGAAGGCAGAGCGTTCAACGTCAGAGGGCCGTGACTCCCAGTCCCAGATCACTGCTGGGAAGGCAGAGCCTTCAACGTCAGAGGGCCGTGACTCCCAGTCCCGGGTCACCGCTACTATTCTGTGATTTGGGGCAAGATCTTAATCTCTCAGAGCCCCAGTTTATCTGTAGAATGCTTACAATACTACTCACCTAGTCCATTGGGATGAGCATTAATGAGGTCTGCAGTGCATTCGGCACAGGGCCTGACATATCATATGTGTTCAGGGAGAACTGGTCTAGATATTCTTTCTTTCTTTCTTTTTTGAGACAGGGTCTTGTTCTGCAGTGATGGTGAGATCTCGGCTCACTGCAGCCTCCACCTCTGGGGCTCAGGCAATCCTCCCACCTTAGCCTCCTGAGAAGCTGAGACTACAGGCATGTGCCACCACACCGGGCTACTTTTTAAAATGTTAATTATTATTATTATTATTTTTTTTGGTAGAGACAAGGTCTCACTGTGTTGTCCAGGCTGGTCTAAAACTCCTGGGCACAAGCAGTCCTCCCGCCTCAGCCTCACAAAGTGCTGGGATTACAGGTGTGAGCCACTGTGCCCAGCTGAGGATTCTATTTTTTTTTAAAAGATATCTTTTCAAAAATGATAATCCTTGAAAAAATGAAATTGAAAGTATGCACTAAACATGGAAAATGATGACAGGAGAAGTAGTCTCTGTGTTATCAACACAGTAATGGCTAATGTCTCAATGTCTTACACCTTCCAAAGAAGACTACAACTTTCTGAATGTGTCCCGAATGGGATAAACTCAAATGATAATAGGATACAATTTTATAGGCATTTTATGGGCTAAGCCCTGACAAACAAACATGACCTCTTTGTAAATTTTTTCCTCTCTCCTAAATTTTTTCCTCTCTCCTCCTCCTCAAAGGTGTTCTTTTGAGGAAACACATGGTGTAGAAAACACAGCTTGATTGAGTGACATGCAGGTCTCATCACCTGCTCTCATCCTGGAAGGAAGGCACCCCAGCCCTACGCTGCCCCTGTCAGCATGCACAAAACCAGAGCTGGCAATTTAATTTGGCGTCAACTTAGGCAATGCAGTTTTTCTGTGTTTTATCTTTGTGCTAAAGATTATAAATCCCTTTTATAATTAAGACAATTTGGCCAAGTTGAGGCATATACTAACAAGGGTGGAAGATGCTGCAGAAAATGAGTGATTTTTAGATATCAAAATTGTGAAGTTACTCTGTTAAATGTACCCTAACCATGAGAAATGCAAACGCCGTGTGAACGATCGGAACACGGCTGTGCTGACTTGCACCAGCCCCATGCAGCCGTGCTGCGGGGACTGTGGGTCACGTGGAAGGCAGCATCTCCCCAACATTCGGCGTCCATCGTCACCTCCTGTAAAGAATAGGTGGGATTTGATGATTAAGAGACAAATGTGGAAGAACAGGCTTAGTCAATTAAAGGCAATGTCTTTCTTTCTTCATAGGTTCAGACCTTAAGTTTTAACAATAAAAAATCAGCACGCCATTGATTTTCTCAGACTGCCGAGGCTCCAAGGCCGTTATTCTCTGTAAGTCATAGTCAATGTAGTTTCATTGTTGCACTTCTATTTCTAGGATTAGTGAATGCCCTATTAAAACAGCCATCTAGAAATGAAATGTCAGGGACAAATTCCCAAGGATCTCAGCTATCCTTTTGAAGTTCAGCATTTATAATGATCTTGTCAATGTACAAATAAATTCACAGAAAAAGAAAAATACTTAGACCGTAATTTGTCAAGACATTCAGAAATAGCTTTGTGAAATTGTACTGTGTTAAACATAAGCATTAGTTGTAGGTATTGTGCAATTATGTAATTGGTCTATAAACAAAGACAGGTGGTATTAGCTTAGAAGTCAATCAAATACAGCAATTTATAATGGGTGCTGCTTCTGAGCTCTTTTTTTTTTTTTTTTTTTTTTTTGAGACAGAGTCTCATTCTGTTGCCCAGGCTGGAGTGCAATGGCACGATCTTGACTCACTGCAACCTCTGCCTCCCAGGTTCAAGTGATTTTCCTGCCTCAGCCTCCCAAATAGCTAGGATTACAGGTACCCGCCACCACGCCTGGCTCATTTGAATTTTTGGCAGATATGGGGCTTTACCATGTTGGCCAGGCTGATCTGTAACTCCTGACCTCAGGCCATCCACCCGCCTCAGCCTCCTAAAGTGCTGGAATTACAGGCGTGAGCCACCGTGCCTGGCCTGAACGGTCTTGATGGTAGGTTTCTCTAGGCAGATGGGAGAAAGGCGGAGAATAAGGGGCTGTCCCCTTCCATGTGGAGAAGCAGAGGCATAGGTGAGTACCAACGGGACTGGGACAGATCTGCCCTGGTGACACTGGTAGAAGAATGACACGGCCCTCCCATTCCACCCAGGAGTGAGACCTTTGGTGGTGACTCTGGTAGAGGAATGACACGGCCTTCTCATTCCACCCAGGAGTGAGACCTTTGGTGGTGACTCCCGTAGAGGAATGACACGGCCTTCCCATTCCACCCAGGAGTGAGACCTTTGGTGGTGACTCCCGTAGAGGAATGACACGGCCTTCCCATTCCACCCAGGAGTGAGACCTTTGGTGGTGACTCCCGTAGAGGAATGACACGGCCTTCCCATTCCACCCAGGAGTGAGACCTTTGGTGGTGACTCCGGTAGAGGAATGACACGGCCTTCCCATTCCACCCAGGAGTGAGACCTTTGGTGGTGACTCCCGTAGAGGAATGACACGGCCTTCCCATTCCACCCAGGAGTGAGACCTTTGGTGGTGACTCTGGTAGAGGAATGACACGGCCTTCCCATTCCACCCAGGAGTGAGACCTTTGAGCACATCATCACACAGTTAACTAACTTAATCTTTTACTTACCATCGACTTCTCTTTGGCATAATGCCAAGGCATTTTCTTGTAAAGCATGAGCTGGTAACAATTCTAGAAAATAACATAAATGCTGCAAATTAAGTTTTTGCCAAAATTCAAGAGAACTGCTAAGTGGAATATGAGATCAACTATGCTCCCAAGAAAACTGTTAGCACAGTTGATTTTCTATTCAACTTACCTGACAAAACACACACAATTTTCCTTCGATATCGTAGTGACTGCTTCTCTTTTCATGTAATTTATATCTTTTCTTAGAATTGAGGGGGATATACTAGAAAGCACATTTATTTCCCTTCACTTGAATACCAAAGGGAGGAACTTTTCTCCACTAATGCTGTGATGTGCATATTTGCATTACTGAGAAATGATATTTAAGAGGCCCTAGGGAAGCCTGAGCTCTTACTTTCCTCCGAGAGGTCGTTCTCCTCCGCCTCTCTCTCCATCTCTTTGCACCAGCCTTCCATCCTCTTTGTCTCTGCGTGCAGCAGCTTCAAAAACCACGAGCCATCCCTGCGGCACGGAGACATCCTCCCAGTCTCTACCGTGTCGATGGCGGGCTCCAGCCAGGGGTCTGGAGGGGGCAGGGTGGAGGTGTCCACTTGGGTCCGATAGTCTTCTCTATAGCTGAAGAGCCCCTGGGTCCGTACAGTTCTCACCGCGCTGTACTGGGTGGGGGTGCTGGGCTCGGAGTGCCGCTGGAAGGATGAGCCGAACTGAAGGCCTTTGTCCTCCGTGGTGATGTGGCCTGGGAACCCCTCCAGCTCCAGGTCAGCTTGGACGGCGGCCGTGACGCTGTTAGAACGTTTAAAACGTCCGTGTCTGCAAAAGGAGGGAAGGAAGACAGATGGTAGCCCTTCTGAGAGGACTTCATGCAACAAAGTCCTACATGTCGCCTGTCAGGAGCGCACCTGAGCTCAACAGCCTGGCGGCTCAAGGGCAGGTAGTGTTTTGTTTGTGAAATATGCTGGTGTTTTGTCTATGGAAGAACATTTGGTTTTGCAAATCATTATACTTTAACATCTGCCTAAGTCTCAGGCCTAAATAACACCCACTTGGGATTTAAGTTTATTGAATGATACAATGAGAGTTAACGTGTTTCTTGAAACCACCATTAGCAAATGGCTACCTCCCTTTCAGAAATATGCTACGAGCTTATGCAGCCAAAGCCATGGGTTGCTTCTTTTATGTAAACAATAGTAACATCATACTGAGTTGTAGTGGCTTCCAAATTGTGTTTCAGGGCCTGAGCCACTTCTGTCTGGATAATTTAATATGTCCCCATTAACCCCTGTATGCAAAATAATGACTCCAAATTCTGACTTTGGCAGGTGTTGGAAAATCATTTTCACTGTCTATATTTTAATGTCATCTTTTCCACATAGCTGATCACCAAAATAGTTGATAGGAGGGGGCTTACAGTTGGAGACCAGTATGCTGGGTGAGAACACTGTGAGCGTGTGTGTGCACGTGGGTATGCTCTGTATCGTGTGCCTGTGTGGTGTGTGTGTGTCTCTCTGTGTCTACATAGTCCCAGCTACTGCAGCCATCCCTGTGGCTCTGCAGGCTGAACCCATAGAAGCACACAGCTGTGCATGCAGCTGGTTAGTGACGTTGCCACGTGTTCCCTTTGCTGGGGGCACAGGGAGGGACACTGAGCCACAGAGCAGGATGGAAGGCAGCCTGCCCGGCTCCCAGGTGCAGAAGATGGCCAGGTTCTAGGAGGTCTCTTGGAAACTGGGGAAGCCATAAGCTGGGGTCGGAATTTCTTTGCAATCAAAATCTCCATAGGGTGGGTGCTAAAACGCTCCCTGATGAGGGAGGCCACCCAACACTGTCCCTGTCACACATTGGCTGAGCCCTCACCATGTAATATTCTCATCAAAATTTGTTTTTATGAAATAGACAATACATGCTATTTTAAATATAAACTAAAATGATCGTCCTGCCTTGTTACAAAAATAACACTAATGGATATCACTTTGTATTTTTTGTTTCTAGGTAATATTTTTGAAGTGAAACAATTTCACGGTGTATGAAGGCCTTGAACGTGCTTTGCTGTCTTTCTATCGTTTTACGTGTAACATGACAAGGCGTAAGGCCTGCATTGGCGTCACCCTCAGCCCGTCCTTCTTTCCTTTGGATCAAGGACTCTGACTTTCAGGCCGTCAGCTGCTCTGCTTTCAGAGGTGATAAATTACTTTGGAAAGAATTACTCCCTTGCCTCTTGCAAAAACAAGACATAGGCGGGTGTTAATTCATACTTGAGGGTTATCAATGGAAAAGTATAAACGTATGGCCCTGTTTCCACAAGGACAGGCATGATTGAGGGCCGGCAGGATCTAGGAGCTTCCATCAGGCCTTTGACAAAGAGCCCTCGCTCGGGGGTCACCGCGTGTCAGGAGGGGCTGAGTTACCGCTTCTCATCTTCCACTTGCACCCCGACAGAGTGGTATTCCCGCAGACCGCGGCTCTCCGTGTCAGAATCTGTGGCCGTTTCCACCTAATTCAACAGAGAACGTCTTATTTTAGAACTGAAACATGGGGCCTGGGCAAGGGACTATTTTGTTGTTGTTGTGGATTTGCTGTAATTAATTACGCATTTGTTTAATTAATGCAGCGGTGCACTTGACCCAGTAAAACCGCAGAGAGGGAAATGCATTCACACTGGAGTAATTACATCACTCCTGCGTCTCATCACATTTTACATAACTACCTGAACTCAAGGCTGCAGTTTGGTCTTCTAAATGTATGCAAATAAAACTGCTTAGTTCAGCTCAGGCAAAAAATAGGTGTTGTTGAACTGCATTATAACAGGACTTAAAAGCTCTTATCACGCCCTATGGTGAAGAAAGTACAGCATGAACCAAACACAGCTAATGACAACAAATAAGCGATTTAAAAGACTTATACTGATGGCTGCATCCACGTACAGAAAGACACAGAAAGGAATTTCAGCACTGATCAGAAACAGAGGCAAACTCTCCACCTTCATCTCCATAGAGCTGTCTCACGTCTGCTAAGAGGATGGCCAGCAGGGTGACGTCAGATCAGAACAGAAATCATGTATTCCACAGAGAATTCTGATTGTGGCTGTATTTGCCAAAAAGTCCCCACAAACCCAACAAGCCTTGCAATGATCATCAGCTATGTGAAGTTATCCCACAAGGGAATTCTAGTACAGTACGTTCTCTAAAAAAAAAAAAACAAAACCAAACCAAGTAGGAAAACTGTGAAACCAAAGGTTAGTTAAGCCATTGATATGATTCCAGGCACTCAGTCATTCCTCTTTCCAGAAAAGTATTACCTATTGTATCAAAAGGACTTTTGAGCCCTCTCTGAAGTGTCATAGCTAAGTTATAAAATCTCTCCCTTCTTAAAAATATTACTGATCACTACAAGGAAAAGGTGCAAAGCATGAAATATTTCTGACCCTGTCCCCTGTGAGGCAAGAGAGAGGAGCTGCACGTTAACATTTGAGTTGCCCTTTGTGACTATCCTAAGGTTAAGCCTGTGTCAACGAGGACTGGCTCAGATTTGTGGCTAAGAGAGGTACTGATGGTAACAGCGAAGACTTATTTGGTGCGTACCCTGCGCCAGGCACTAGGCTGAGGTTCCAGCGTTATCACGTGTACTCCACACAATAACCCCAAGGATGTTTCCAGCCCCAGGAGAGAGCTGGCGGATCAGAGGAGGGGGGTGACTTGCTCAGGAGCGCGCCCTGGTTGGGGTCAGGGCTAGGGCTCTTGCCGGGATCTCTCTGACCCCAGAGCCGGGTGCCGCACAGAAGACAGAGCGCGAGAAAACCCTGGAGCTCTCGGCCGCCGCCGTGGATCCAGGGGAACGGACAGAGACGTCCACTTTCACCGGGTGTAATTCTGAAGACAGGCGCAGAAGCGGTCCCGAGACTGGGATGCGTGTTTGCAGAAGCTGACCCTAGACTGGGATGCGTGTTCTGATAGCTGGGTGAGACGGGCTACAGGAGGAAGAACATTCTTGAGTGAAGATCCTGGCCTTCCTGTCAGAATTTACCATTCCCGTTTCTAGTGTTAAGTGGGTCACGACTTTATTAAACCTTACCTTGCTCGACATAAACATGATCAGTGTTATTTTACGCAAAGGATTGTAATACAATTAATACATTTAAAATTCCATGTCTGTACATATGGAGCTGCCTCGTGTTTTAAGTGCAAAGGATTCCATTTTATGAGTATAGCCTAGTGCATTTAATGAGCCTTCAGTGCAGGGGAAATTTGGTTATTTCTAGTTTTCTGCCATTATAAATGATGCTGCTATATAAATACATGTCTGTACTTGTGTGAAAACTTCTCTGAATATATTCACCAGACGGGAGGTCTGGGTCAGAGGTATTTGCACTTTATAATTTTGGTAGATATTGCCAAATCTGATATGAGTGAAATAAATGAATACTTTTAAAGATATTTTGTAAAAGGAACACTCGTTTTTATCATAAAAATGTGGAGAATATTTGTCTCTCTCACTTATTCTATTTCTAGGAATCCAGCCTAAACAAAGGACCTTAAATTCTGACCAGTGTGTGAGGTGTTCATTGCAGCATTATTTATAAAGTAGCACCTGGGGAGAATGAGGGTGATACAGTGGGATAGGAATGTGCAGTAAGTCATGATTTACTTGTGACACGGAATACTACACAGCAGTGAAAACAATGGAGCTGGGCATGGTGGCTCATGCCTGTAATCCCAGCACTTTGGGAGGCTGTGGCAGGAGGATCACTTGAGCCTAGGCGTTAGAGACCAGCCTAGGCAACATGGCAAGACCCCATCTCTACAAAAAAAGAAATTAGCTGAGTGGTAGCACCTGTGGGACAAGCTACTCGGGAGGCTGAGGCAGGAGGATCACTTGAGCCCAGGACACTGAGGCTGCAGTTAGCTGTGATTGCACCACTGTACTACATCCTGGGCAATAAAGTGAGAGAGACCCTGTCTCTAAAAAATAAAGATGGTTCTAAAGATAACCTCAAGAATGCTTATAATACAGACTTTAAAGAACACAGGTTGACAGGTGCCATGGACAACAATGACCAGGGGCATGCACAAGCATAGAGACACTCGCAGTCACAGGCATGTTTGTGTACCATGAAAAAGAAAAATATAACAAAAGTAAAAGGAAGTTTTCCTTCCTTCCTCTGTCTCCAAATTTCCTCTAATATATTTTTGTTATTTTTTATAGTGAATTTGAAAAATACAGTTTTTGGAGCTGGTCAGATTCTGCTACTTGCTGGCCATGCAACTCTTAGGAAACTCTTTTAAATTTTGTTGAATCTTTGCTTCCTTGTTTCAAAGAGGGGACACCCAATGCCTCAGTTAACTGATGTAAAACTCTCAGCCTGAGGCCTGACTCAAGTAGGTTCGTCCACAGCAAATGCAAATTCCCTGTTCTCTCATCCCAGCTTTAAGGACGGTCACGTGAATAGTGGTATGTATATTACATTAAAGGCACACGCATATGATGAACTGTGCAGATTTTACCCTGGCTGTCTTTTATGAAATCTTTCTAAGTAAAATGAAGTTCTCCATTGCTGGATGGTAAAGTCTGAAGGGGACATGGTAAAATCATACTTGGCCAGGAGGAGCTAAGTATTTATCAATTTCAGAAATCCTGGGCATAGAGAGGCTTCATGTGAGACAGAAAAGCAAGTCTGGGACAAAGAAAATAAATTATTTTATACAATGGAAAGGTAACTCAAGAGTCTTTTCCAAAGGAAATTCTGACTAGAATTGCAGTGGGAGCACACTGGCTCACATCTATAATCCCAGTGCTCTGCAAGGCTGAGGGGGTAGGATCACTTGAGCCCACGAGTTTGAGGCTGGAGTGAGCTGTGATTGATTGCACCACTGCACTCCAGCCTGGGCAACACAGCAAGCCCTCATCTCTTAAAGTTTTGAAAAATATATGGGTGCAAGAAAAAAAGATGAATGAGCAAAATCACTGTCCCACCTCCCATGCAGTCCCAGGCTAGCAGCGGCGTCAAAGCCAACCAGCCTCCTCTGAGCCCAGCTTCTGTAGGGCTGCTGAGAAAATGAAAGTGGGCGGGGCTGGCAGCAGGAACCGCTCACTAGTAATACTGGGCCAGGGTGCCAATCTGTAATCTTTGCTCTCCCAACAAGCTCATTTTCCGCTCTTCCTTCAACACCTCACACATAGCAGGGCAGGTGCCCTGAATCTGATGCAAACTCCTGTTTATTTCCCTCTGAGACGTGCTCTGCCTCCCAGAGCTACAGGTGAGTGGCCGGCCCTGCCTGTGAGGCTTTGAGCTCTGGGGCAGCCATGAGGAAGAGCAGCTGCCTGTGAGGCTTGGAGCTCTGGGGCAGCCATGAGGAAGAGCAGCTGCCTGTGTGCCTGGAGAATCAGGCAGACACTTTTATCACAGGCAGGACATTCAGAATGGACAGCCGCAGAGTCTTTTCCAGGCTGCCCCTGCCTTCTCACAACCTGGTGAGATCACAGAATAGAAACTGATCTCCTTGGCTGGGCATGGAGGCTCATGCCTGTAATCCCAGCACTTGGGGAGGCTGAGACAGGTGGATCACCTGAGGTCAGGAGTTTGAGAGCAGCCTGGCTAACATGGTGAAACCCCATCTCTACTAAAAATACAAAAATTAGGCGTGGTGGCACATGTCTGTAATCCCAGCTGCTCGGGAGGCTGAGGCAGGAGAATCATTTGAACTCAGGAGGTGGAGGCGGAGGCTGCAGTGACCTGAGATCGTGCCACGCACTTCAGCCTGGGCAACAGAGTGAGACTCCATCTCAAAAAAAAAAAAAAAATTAAAAATAAAAAACAACAACAAAAAAACTGATCTCATTTATAAAGGTGGGATTCACAAGGCACCAGGGACAGAAGGACCCTGAATGTTAGACCAGGCCTCCGTCCCTCCTAACCGCAGTATCTGGGAGCTGTAAACATTTCCCAGAGTTCCCCAAACACACACATGCACACAAAAGAGAATGGAAAACTTAGCAGGAGAGACAAACCGCAAAGGATAAAAACGAAAGTGAATACACAAATGGTCCAATTGGAATGAAGAAAAGCGAGGTCAGGCCAGACCGGGTCAGAGGACGTCTCCGAGGTAGCTCAGCCATGCCCACAAGCTCTCCTCCTTATCCTAGGACTGGCCTATGAGTGCCAAGGCTGGAGCCCATTCTCTCCTACGGGCATCTGGCCTGCAAATCTGGAGCTGTGATGAGACCTGTCTGTGAGTCCTGCTGTAAGGGCCAGACTCAGGTGGCCGGGGCCAGACATCTGAGGAACAGGGGACTTGCCGCTGGCTTCTGCTCTAAGCTGGGCAGGGAAGGAGGACGGGGGCCATAGGAGGTGTGAGCTGAGGACCCTCACTCATTAGGGATCACGTTAGACGTAGCCCAGTAATTATAATGAGAATCCTGAATTCAAACCCTGATAGTAAAAGGTCATGCAATGCACTGTGAACAAGGGAGTTGCATTGTGGGACAGGACCCCCCGCCCCGGGACAGGACCCTCCTGGAGCTGTCTCTCCATGAGCCAGTGACTCACAGAGGGCGTGAGCTCCACAGAAGATGTGTTCAGTGACGTGGACGCTGTTCATTTGTAGGAATGACATTCGCAGAACACAGATTCTCCTGCTATCTGCACTCAGACAAAACTGTGCCCAAAGGTCCCGGAAGCCAGTCCCATTGAATGCTGGTGGAACACGGGCTAGCCAGCTTTGTCTATGAGCTGCAGAACAGCGTGACACCTGCCCTGTGTCCCAGAACAGGAACAGAACCAGGGCAGGCTCCTGAGGGCACGGAATCATTCTGGGATTTTCTCCTCTTTGAGAAGCAGAGCAGAGAGGGGTGGAGTGGAGTGCAGGCTCCAGTCTCGGCCGCTGCCTTCACTCATGGCCTTGGCCGTGAGCCCTTAGGCAAGTCACTGACCCTCCCTGAGCCTCAGTTTTCCCATCCATAGTCTGGGCACAATTAACAACCAGCACACAGGGTTATTGTAAGGATTAAATGGTGCCTGGCAGGGACGTGGCCACCTGTCCACAGCCTGCTCACTCTTGTCCCAGCCTGTCACCTCCTGCCCTGGCAAGGCTGCCGTCTGCAGCTCCCCTCCTGACGCCTCCCTGAAAGAAGGAACCCGTCTTTCATCTGCTCGATTCCTTCTTTTCCTCCCCTTTACTCCTGCAGTGGCTTCAATTCTTTGGCTGTTTTCCTTATCCTGACACTGGAGCTGCTCCAACTACATTTTCTCTGTAGCTTTTCAATTCACTTCCTTTGGATAATTGTGAGACCGCCAGCTCACAGGATGCACAGAAAACACACAGGATGTTGTGCGTTTTTTTTTCTTACTGCCATGAAAGGTGACTTCGTCATCCACCTACATTCCTGTCTTTGCATCCATCCTCACCCAGCACGCACCCAGCGACCCATCCGTCCACTCGCTTACCCAACATTTACTGAGCACTCCCTATGTGCCAGGCACAGTGCTGGGTGCAGGGTGGCAACAGGCTGGGGGTGCAGTTCCCTCTCACAGGACACAGTGTGTGGGGCTGGGGTCCAGAGAGGCCTCCGGGAAGGGGTAAAGGCACAGGCTGAGCTTTGCAGGGGAAGCTGGGGGGATGAGGAGAAGCCTGTACTCAGCAGAGGCTGCCATGCCAGGGGTGGGAGCTGGGAGCGGAAGAGGGCTGACCACGGAGGGGTGTGGGGTCCTGGCTGTGGGCGGGGCAGGAAGCGGCGGCACTGTGCCGAGCGTGCTGACTTAACTGTATGAGTTTCCAAAATTATGTCCCACTCATTTCAGATAAAGTCGGTACTGCACGTGCTTAGAAGTTGGCACTGCCTCAGTCGTGGCTGGGTGGATATCCTGGAGGGCACCTGTGGGAGGTGGCTGAGGAGAAAAGAGAGAGGGTGGGAGTGTCTGGCAATGGGAAGTCACCTGGCTAATTTGGGGGCCTCTCCAGTCTCTACTGCAGACGTGACCCTGGAGACGGAGACGGAGACGGGCGATGGCACCCTAGCTTTCCTGCTTACCGGCGCCGGAGCCCAGCGAGGCCCAGGGCTGCAGGCAGGTTAGGGACCCTGGTGAGCCCCTTGTCCTCATCTAAGGGGGACAGATGGGAGCACCCAGCATAGTGCCTGGCACATAGAATCAGGACAGAGGCGACAAGAGCGGTCGCATGAACATCCAAAAAAGGGAGAGAAAATGAAAGTCATGCGGACGCGGCTTTGGAGCACATTTCGGTACTTACATCTGACCTTGGGTATGGCTGATGCTCTGGGAATTCAGAATCCTAAACAAAACAATGAAGCCACAGTGTGGAGACCTGGTTCGGAGGCCCTGGACCAGCGGGCGGCTCCCCTGCTCTCTCCGCCCGCATGCCTAGCTACCAGCGCCGCACGGGCCCGGCTCTCAGCACGCTCCACTCACCCTCCTCCCTGGGCCGCCCCAGCGGCAATCAAGAATCTGACTGTTAAAGCTCCGAGGAACGCAGGCTGAATGAAGGGGTAAAAGGAAGCAGGAGGTGGGCCGTGTTGGCAGAGGGCTTGACGGCCAGCCCTGCTCAACCACGTCCGCCAGATCCCGGAGGGATGCGCTACCTGACCCAGATCACAGGACAATCTCCCGGCCTCCCTGGGTGCACAACACTGCACCTAAAACAGACTTGCAGAGGGAGGTGCAGCGTGGGCAGGAGCCGGCCAGAGCTCTCCATTCACGGGGAAAGGAACCGTCTGCCACGTCTATATCATGGGTAGACATCTGGGGGCCCAGATGGACGGCGGGTCAACCGTCTGTGGTCTGAAACCATGGATGCAACATCTGTGACCCCAGCTGAGGGGCCTGCCAGCACCTGAAGTTGCTGTGAGCACGTCCAATTTCTGTAGAGAGGAGAGCATGCCCTTCCTTTTACCTCTTCATTCCCAGCACCTTTTGGTTTCCCCACTCAATTCTTTGGCCACAATACCGAAAAGCTTTTGAAAAATCAGACTTCAACAGAAACCCTCCCCTTTAAAGCATCAAAACAGTGTTATCTCCATACTCTCTAGGCAGCCTTTGGCCCTTGGAAAACAAGTGGCCCGGAGTGTATTTTCAGGGTGGCAGGGGACAGGGAGCTGGAACCCCTGGGTTTCCTTCAGCCCTGCACTGGGGTCCGCATCACCTCGGGGGTCTCCCACCTACTCACTGCGCTGGCAGGTCTGCAAGGCGAACGCACAGCCCTGCTCTCAGATTCCACAGCCCTGCTGGGGTTACAGTCAGTGCTAAGGACCCAGGGCCGCTGGTTGGGTTTTGGCTTATTCTAGGCTATTGGCAGGACTGAGTGGAGCGAGGCCCTGACGGGCGGCCAAGAGCAGCTACCTGAATCCCGATGGAGGAGCAGCGGCTCTTGAGGAGCTCCTCCGCCTTGGACACCAGGATGGCCTTGTCGCTGGTCCGCACAGAGCTGCTCTGGCTCTCTGGCAGGTGGCGCTGGGCAGCGGCCGTTTCCAGCGCGAGGTTCATGGCCTTGTTGCTGTCCAGGCTGTCCGTGGAGTTGTAGAGGCCGCGGCTGTCCTGGGGCCATGGGGACATCCTCTGTGCGCGGCTGTCCTGGTAGGCGTCCTGGGTGGATTCGGTGCTGCTCTGCGCCGTCACCGAGATCAGAGGCTTGGAGGTGGTCCGAGGGGGCACCGGTGGGGGCGTTTTCTTGTAATTTGTATATGAGACAGCTGTAAGAAAAGAAAGTCCCAAGTCAACAGGCGTGTTCTTCCCCGTCAGCCTGTGGTCTACTGTTTCCCCACGCCCATGCCCTGTGGTTGACGGAGCAAGTCTGTTCCTGGACGTCTAGCCTAAAAAAATAGCGTGAAATGAGGGGACAGTGAGACAGCACACATGAATATACCTGTAACAGTGCAGGATTATAAAAATACCAGCAAACCCAGCTGCAGAGACACAGCTAAGCAAGGTGCGTCCCTGCAGGACAGCACGCAGGCGTGGCATCATTTAAAAATACCGACAAATCCAGCAGCAGAGACACAGCTAGGCAACGTGCGTCCCCTCAGGACAGTGCGCAGGTGTGGCGTCATTTAAAAATACCAACAAATCCAGCAGCGGAGACACACCTAGGCAAGGTGTGTCCCCGCAGGACAGCGCACAGGCATGGCATCATTTAAAAATACCAGCAAACCCAGCAGCAGAGACACAGCTAGGCAAGGTGTGTCCCCGCAGGACAGCGCACAGGCATGGCGTCATTTCTACGCAGGTCATGTCATCGTGGAAAATGCTGATTCTATCACACTAGGTTCAGAAGCACGCCGGATGCTAAACTATGCATAGGTCAAGATGGAATCTATTTGTACAGGAAACCTGTGTGTGAGAAGAGGTCACCAGCACCTGAAGATGTTAATCGCGGCTGCTGAGTGACAGGATGGGCACTGTCTGCTCTTGGGCTTGTGTGTTTTTCTAAAAATCATTATAACGAATAGCTACTGTTTCTGTAACGGAGAAAATATATAATAGCAGAAACTTACTTGCTTCCCTATAAGTACAGGCTCCATAGGTTTAAGTTGTAGGAAGACCACCGGAAAGGGGCCAGCTCTATGCATCTGAGCTGGGCCAGGCCACGCTCACCTGTGGCCGTCACCAGCCAGTCTCCTCCCAAACTCGAGTTGCATGGGGCATTCTGTACCACCGGCTGTACAGCTGGACAGGCCACCAAAGCAAAATAAATGCATCCGGAGATGATGACTGTATTAAATAACTCTTAGAACCTACCAAAAATGCATGAGGCACCTTGGCCTGGACTCAGGCTATAACTTATTTTTATAGAGAGGATGAACTCCCTAACACTCTCCCTCAACAGGAATTGGTTGTCCGTTACAGTCAATTATTTTCCTTTAGTGCACAGGAAGAGCTGATAAAAGTGCTTCTTGAAGGGAATCTGCTCCCCTCATCAGAGTGCAAAGCAACCACCACCCCACCCCTGCCACACACACACAGTGGGAGGCACTGCCAGGCTGCTTGTGACGTAGGTGAGTGCGCACGTGGGCGTCTCCTGGAGGGGTCTGAGCGCCGTCTGTGAGGACAGACCGAGCAGCAGTTTTCCCCAAGGATGTCCAGACACGGTGCCCGAGAGCAGCTGCCGGCTGCTGCAGGTGGAAACACATCCTTTCTGTGTCTGCAGGACACTTCCCATCCCTCACCTCCTCCAATCATTTTTAACCCATGAGTGGATTTTCCTAATCCACTCTGACCTCTAATGTCATCCCGAGTTAACAAGGACAAACGACAAAACAAGCCTGCCATTCAGGATGACCTGTGCTTTAAGGCATAATGTTACATATTAACATTTACAAAGTGGAGACTTTTTTTTTTTTTTGAGATGGAGTCTTTCTCTGTTGCCCAGGCTGGAGTGCAGTGGGGCGATCTGAGCTCACTGCAGCCTCTGCCTCCTGTGTTCAAGCGATTCTCCTGCCTCTGCCTCCCGAGTAGCTGGGATTACAGCGCTTGCCACCACACCTGGCTAAATTTTGTATTTTTAATAGAGACAGGGTTTCACCATGTGGGCCAGCCTGGTCTCAAACTCCTGACCTCAGGACCTCAGATGATCCACCCACCTCGGTCTCCCAAAGTACTGGGATTACAGGTGTGAGCCACCACATCCAGCCCAAAGTGGATACATTTGTAAAAAGCATGCATTGGAAAGAGAATCTGAAGCCTAGAAAACTGAGGAAGGATGATCAGATGTTATGAAATCAATCGGGTGCTGAGCTTCTCTTTTACCAGACAAACATTCAAAATCCTGTCTTTTTTTCTTTTGTTCCTGACTTTTCCCTCTAACGTCAATCAATGCCTTAAGCAAAATTATTGAAAACTGACAAGATTCAAGGCACTATTTAGGAGACTCAGAAAGTTCCCAAGACTTCTCCATCCCAAAGGCCAGTAGTGCCGGGGAGAGACCTGGGTTAGGAAATATTTCGTTTTTCCGGGTGGGACGCGTTGGGGACTGCACATTCATCTCACCTTGGCAGGGATGAGGTCCGTTTAAACACTTGCTTCTGATGACGCCTTTCCTGGCAGTGTTTCACAGCGCTGATTTATCAAGGGTGTTGAGTGCGACATGGACACATGGTCAGAGAGCCCGCGGGTGGAGATGTGAGGAGGGCTCATCGATAAAGGGGTTTCCACGTGACAGCCCTGGAGAGTAGGCGGCTGTTTTCATGGTAACCCATTTGTCATGGGTCATTTACAGAAAACAGAATCTTTATCATCAATGACACGTCTTCAGATTCTACGGCTCTGGCCGAAGGCAGGCCCGGTGTCCGCTGCGCGCTGGAGCGAGACTGCGGACGGGGGCTCTCAATGACCTCTCCAGTGGCAAAGCTGGCTCTGCGTTGCTTCTCTTAAGCAGAAATATTGATTCCGAAGAAGTTTTGAGTCCCAGCAATAGGGGTAGTAAAAAATCAAAGGCAACAGAGAGACGCGGGAATATAGATTAAAATGTGACATCTGCCTTATTATATTTTTCTTTGGCAAGTTTGAGATGAGCAGAAAGGTGATATTAAACACGCCAAATTGGTTGGATTTTCCCAGCGAGGTTCACCTAAGCAGTGAACGATGGCACATATCAAGCGTCATAACCATGTCACAACATGTCACAGGCAAATGCAACAGGGAGGAAGTAATCAGTTAGTGACCTGCCCAGAAAATTTGAGCAAATGCATGCAAATTCATCCCCACCTTGGCTCATTATGTGTTTCATAGTTACTCTCAAAGGTCTGTCGCCACTGTTCAAAATCACAGACCTCACTAAGTGTATTTAAGTAAAATTTAAAGAGTCTGAAAAATTTCACAAAACAAGTAAACCTTCCTTCTTGTATGGAATATCTCGTAAATTAAAAAAAATGTATGGGGCAGCTTATGACTTATCTCCATGATCACAGGAAAGTCACATACCACATCTTCTCACTTTATAATGTGTTTGCTACAGGCCGATGAAATGATTTTTTAAACTGATTTCTTTGTAAAAATGTAGTTGCATGCCACACTTTTAAAACAAACAGATTAAGAAGGAGCAGTTCACCTCCAGCGTACAAAAAGAAGAATTTACTACACTCTACCTGGCAGGGCACACACAGTGATTTTTCCTGGATGACAAAAGAAAGACATGATGCTCTTTCTAAGTGTGTGTGCACATGCCTGCCAGGTTGTTCTCAAAACCACTAAAACGAAAACGTGGTTTGAAGCAATTAGCTGTGCTGCAGTGATACAGGGATTATCACTGACTGACTTTCGTAAAAGTTGTGGTTGGAACTTTGTGAAAGAGTATTGTTTTTCACCGTTATCAGCAAGGCTGCAATATTGAACTGAATGTCCAGGTCGAACTGAATGTCCATATGGTTGCTGTTACCATATGGGTTTTCCAGAGACCATTGATAAGGGGGCTGAAGACCCTGGGCTTTCTTCCACGTTGGGCACCGACGTAAAGTGCCTGGCAAGCTTCACTGGTGGATACAACATTGTAAGATTCGCTGATTTCAGGAAGCATTTATCTAGAGCCTAAGAGCCTGGCCCCAGTGTGCTCCATAATCACACTGAAAAGGCCGTCCTGAGAACCAAGGGTGCAGCATCAGAGACTAGGGACGCCCAGAGAGAGACTGGGGTTGAAAGAAGCTTCCTGGGGGTGAGCCTGGCCGTGCCTTGAGATGGATGGAGCTGCTCCTGGGAAGCAGGAGTAGGACGGGCCAGCGGACATAGCCTGTGCCTAGATGTACCCATGCCACCACGGGAAGGGCTAGTAGACGTGGCCTGTGTTGTAGACGCACCGATGCCACCACAGGAAGGGCCAGGTGACACGGCCTGTCCTGTAGATGCACCAACGCTGCCACGGGAAGGCCAGTGGGCATGGCCTGTCCTACAGAAATGCTGATGCTGCTGTGCCCGCACCCACAGCCTCAGCTCTAGAAAGGCAGCCCTGGTGGAGGAGGGTTTGGTATCAGTGGATCAGTTGTCATCAACAAAACCACTATTCTCTGGCATAAGGATACTGCAAACTTTACTTGGATTTCCCCAGCGGTCTGCAGGCTCCTCTGGGGGCTGAACCGACTGGTCACATTAGTGCTCTGGGGATACGGCCTGACTTCTTCTTTTCTTTACAAGCGTCATGGAGTTTTCTCAAACTATTTACCTTCTGGCAGAAACAGCAAATGACCATTCGGCCGTTCTCTCTTCCTCTAAATCAAAACATGCGCTGTGATGCTGGAACGCTTGTTCAGCTCTGCTTTCCTCTGGTGATTTAATATCCTGAGATGATTTTTACCACTCCCTGCAGTTGAGTTTCACTTACAGGATCCACAGACTCACAGGCAAGTCACAGCTGTCAGACCAAACCTCCCCTGTGAGTCGAAGTTAACCATTACGCTCAGGGCGCAAGGGAAAGGGGGGCTTCTCGGTCCTTTCCTGCAAAATCTGTGGACAGGGAAATCTCACACACTTCTTTCTGGTTCTATTAAATCAATCTTTCTTGCTTCAGACATGAAAGCATGTCATCATGTGATCTTGGAGAAACTGCCTTCCCTCTGTCTGAGGGTGCTCTGCGGTGTCCGGCGTCCCACAAAGCGGAGATAAGCATCCAGAGAAGCTGGCGAAGACGGGTGCACAGTAAGGGCGCTGTCACCACCGGGTCCCCAAACAGCACTGGCCGACTCCACCATCAAAGGAGAGAAGAAAATGCCAGCAGCAGCTGCAAACTTGCCACCACCCCTTCATTTCTTCAGTATGAGAAAGAAAAGTCACCTTGGAGTGCGCATGTGCATGTACACACACACTCACACCCCACACTCACACGTGTACACACACACAGTCATACCCCACACTCACACGTGTACACACAGGCACACATCCCCCACACTCACACATGTACACACACACACCCCCCACACTGTGTACACACAGGCACACATCCCCCACACACATGTACAAACGCACACACACCCCACACTATGTGTACACACAGGCACACATCCCCCACACTCACACAGGTATACACACACACACACCCCACACTCACACATGTACACACACAGTCATACCCCACACTCACACATGTGTACACACACACACCCCACACTACGTGTACACACAGACACGCATCCCCCACACTCACACATGTACACACGCGCACACACCCCACACTCACACGTGTACACACAGGCACACATTCCCCACACTCACACATGTACGCACACACTCACAGCCCACACTCACACGTGTGTACACACACACCCCACACTCACACATGTGCCAGGCACTCTGTGGAGCACGTTATACTTTGCAGTTCATTAAGCTTCAGAACAACCTTGTGGGGTAGGCGGTCTTGGCATTTGCATATCTTGGAAGAGAAGGTGGAAGTCTGAATGGGCTTAAACCTCTTCCTGACATCAGCCCACAAGAAAAATGGTAGAACTGAGATTCAGATGCTTCTCCAGTTGTTGGTTATAATGAGTCTAGTTTTCTTTTTTGTGACCATTTACATAGCAGAACCTTATTTCTCATGACCTGATCTAGTGTTTTCTCATTTAAGAGACGGGTCCAAGAGTGCACGTCAGAATCCTTGCCCACTGCAAAATTCAATGAAAGAGGCACTTATTTCAGCAAGATTTATGGCGGTTCCAGGTTTCCTAAAAACAAAAAATCAAAATGCCTTTGGTGGCAGAAGATATTTTAAAGATTATACCCTGACACTCCATGACCCAAACTGTTTAAAGGGACTATTAACTAATGGGCTTAAGCCAGAGTAAGAGGAGATTATATGAAATGGGCTTTCAATTCCTTAAATCATACCAAATCAATGAAAATTATTTTGGGAAAGAGGCCTTCGAATATTTGTTTATTGGCTTGATGATATATTTTCCTGGTTCATAGGAAAGGTGTGTGGGACCCACTGATTTCCAAAGCATCAGTTCATCCCTCATGACCTATGGGCGGAAGACCCTTTGCGGCAGCCCTGTGACTGTGACTGTGTACTTCCCCTGAGGTCTTGCTGTGGCACAGCACACAGGCTCACCATACTGTAAGGAGCGTGACCGTGTTCTTCCCCTGTGGTCTTGCTCTGGCAGAGCACCCAGGCTCACCATACTGTGAGCAGCGGGCTTTGCAGGAGATCTGGCTCTCTGTTTCAGCTGAGTGATGGTGATGACACCGGCTGAATTGTCCCATAGGGCGGATGTTTATGGGTTTCTTTAGATAAACATAGAAACTGACCCTCCTAGTCTTGAAACCTGAGAAAGTTACATCTGTCTTATCTGAGTTCCTTTCTAAGGACAGCAGCCATCAGGCCTCCCAGATAGCATCATGGAGCTCCAATTCACCAGATCACTGCATCTAGACAATGAGACCAAAGACCTCACATCCACTCTGACTGCCCAACCCATCATCTGCTTCCTGGTGGCCGCCTCTTCCTCACAGCTCCCTCATTTCTGTTTTCCCATACATGGTTACATTTCTTCCCTGCTATATAAACCTCTAATTTTAGTTTGCCAGGGAGATGGATTTGAGATGGATCTCCCATGTCCTTTCCTGCAGCATCTGATGAAAGCCTTCTTCCCTGGCAATACTCGCTGTCTCAGTGATTGGCTTTCTGTGCAGTAAGCAGCAGAACTTAGACCCAGCTTCTGGCCTTTTGTCAACAGTGATGTTACTCCCTGCCTCTTCTCAGTGCTCCTACTGGCCATGTCAACATAGTAGAGGCCATGGAGAACAGGTGGTCATGCACCACACAGGTCTGCAGCCCCCACCACCATGAGGCGCAGCACCTCAGCGGGATGAGGAGAAGCTGGGCCCAGCAGGCTGAGAATGAGAGCTCTCCTGGGGCTCCAACGTGAACAGGAAGAAAACCAGCTTGAAAGGCTTTGAAAAGGATTTCTATTTAGACAACGTTTTCTTGGAAAGAGCTAGAGCTTGAACACTTGTGAACTGCCAGTCACTGCTGTCTTTACATGGATTTGTCCCCTAGCCTCCCCCAACCCTTGCCAGCAGAAACAGGTGAAGTTTCTCCCTGTCTCGTAGACAGGAAGTGCAAGATTCCGGTTCCAGCAGCCTTGTTGCTGAAAGTTGCGGTATTAGCTACGGAATCACGGTGCCGTGTATTCTTCGGTGACACCATTCAAGGGGAAAAGCCCACTATGTTATCAGAACTTCAGGTTCTCTCAAAAACAATTGGGCCATTTAGCTAAAGGACCAAGGGAAAGTTTTGATTGATCATCTGAGGGTTTACCAACCACAGGATCTGAAACGCCATCTCTGCAGGAGGGAATATGTGTCCTGGTAGGATATTTTTAATCCCCTAAAAATATTAATCACTTGTCCATGTAAGTCCCTTTGTTAATGACCCCATGAGAAATCCAACACATAGTTTTAATAGAAATAACTGACCTGTAGCGTTTAAAGAATTGGAAACACTGTAGAAGTTAAAGAAACATTTAGCAATACACATAAAAACTTCCAGGTATGCAGATACCAGACGCATTTTTACATGTGAGTACAGAGGTCAAGGGGGATCTGTGTGTGAAGACCAGGGACAGGCACTTAAAATATATTTTAAATATAGCTTTTGTCATTCTCACTTACAGTGGGCGTATATGCATATAATATAATCCCTCATGCATTCTGAATGGATTGTTTATAGCAGAACAATAAGTTACAAATAATACAGCAGTTATTAAGAAATTATTTTTAGGCAGCTAGAAAAGGTGAAAGATCTTAGTAGAATTTTCCTTTAATGAAAAGCAGCCCTCCAGCCAGAGAGAAAGGTCAGGTTACACACAAAGGGAAGCCCATGAGACTAACAGCAGATCTCTCAGTAGAAATCCTACAAGCCAGAAGAGAGTGGGGGCCAATATTCAACATTCTTAAAGAATTTTCAACCAGAATTTCACAGGCAACCAAACTAAACAAACTAAATAAGTGAAGGAGAAATAAAATCCTTTACAGACAAGCAGATGCTGAGAGCTTTTTGTCACCACCAGGCCTGCCTTATAAGAGCTCCTGAATGAACCACTAAACATGGAAAGGAAAAACTGGTACCAGCCACTGCAAAAACATGCCAAATTGTAAAGACCATTGACACTATGAAGAAACTACATCAACTAACGGGCAAAATAACCAGCTATCATCATAATGATAGGATCTAATTCACACATAACAATATTAACTTTAAATGTAAACAGGCTAAATGCCCCAGTTAAAAGACACAGAATGGCAAACTGGATAAAGAGTCAAGACCCATCAGTGTGCTATATTCAGGAGACCCATCTCATGTGCAAAGACACACATAGGCTCAAAGTAAAGGGATGGAGGAATATTAACCAAGCAAATGGAAAGCAAAAAATAGCAGGAGTTGCACTCCTACTCTCTGATAAAACAGACTTTAAGCCAACAAAGATAAAAAAAGACAAAGAAGGGCATTGCCTAAAGGTAAAGGAATCAATGCAACAAGAAGAGCTAACTATCCTAAATATATACACACCCAATACAGGAGCACCCAGATTCATAAAGCAAGTTCTTAGAGACCTGTAAAGAGACTTAGACTCCCACACAATAATAGTGGGAGACTTTAACATCCCACTGTCAATATTAGACAGATCAGTGAGACAGAAAATTAACAAGGATATTCAGGACTTGAACTCAGCTCTGGACCAAGTGGACCTAATAGACATCTACAGAACTCTCTACCCCAAATCAGCAGAATATACATTCTTCTCAGCACCACATCACACTTACTCTAAAATCAAACACATAATTAAAAGTAAAACACACCTCAGCAAATGCAAAAGGATGGAAATCATAACAAACAGTCTCTCCGACCACAGTGCAATCAAATTAGAACTCAGGATTAAGAAACTCACTCAAAACCGCACAACTACATGGAAACTGAACAATCTGCTCCTGAATGACTACTGGGTAAATAACGAAATTAAGGCAGAAATAAATAAGTTATTTGAAACCAATGCTTTAGCTGTGTCCCACAATCTCTGGGACACAGAGTTTCTGGGACACAGCTAACACAGTGTTTAGAGGGAAATTTACAGCACAAAATTGTCACAGAAGAAAGCAGAAAAGATCTAAAATTGACACCCTAACATCACAATTAAAAGAACTAGAGTAGCAAGATCAAACAAACTCAAAAGCTAGCAGAAGACAAGAAATAACTAAGATCACAGCAGAACTGAAGGAGATAGAGACACAAAAAAACCTTCCAAACATCAATGAATCCAGGAAAAGATCAACAAAATACATAGACCGGTAGCCAGACTAATAAAGAAGCGAAGAGAGAAGAATCAAATAGACACAATAAAATATGTTAAGGGGGATATCACCACTGATCCCACAGAAATACAAACTACCATCAGAGAATACTATAAACACCGCTATGCAGATAAACTAGAAAATCTAGAAGGGAATGGATAAATTCCTGGACACATACACCCTCCCATGACTAACACAGGAATAAGTGGAATCCCTGAATAGACCAATAACAAGTTCTGAAATAGGCAGTAATTAATAGCCTACCAACCAAAAAAAGCCCAGGACCAGACGGATCCATAGCCTACGTAACAAAACTGCACGTTCTGCACATGTATCCCAGAACTTAAAGTATATATATAAAAAAGTAGCCCCTAAACCGTTTCTTCTTTAAGGGAAAGCTGCCTAAGAAGTCAGGCATAGATATGCAGACTAGGAGCTTTCATATGTAAATGGAGCAGCTGTACCTGGAAGCCAGGTACATTCAATATGGCATCTCCTGCTCGCTTTTGCTTGTCAGTATGTGCAGGGTGTCATGGCAGCCTCCAGGTAAAGCCAGGTATACAGGTATCATGGCAACCAGCCAGGTGGAGGGTGGAGCCCTCATTTGCATAATAAAAGACGAGGGTGGGAGGGCCAGTCTTTTTGCGAACTATGTAAATGTCACATCTGGTCTAACCAATCCCCTGGGCCCTATGTAAGCCAATCACCACCTCCTCAAGCCTCTGTACAGAACCGATTGCATTCTGCTGCAAACGGGAGACTTTCTTTTGGGCGATCTGCTCCCTCAGCATAAGGAAGTCTTTTCTCTCTCACATCTTTTTCTATTAAACTTTTCGCCCCCTAAAACCATGTGTCCATGTCGTAAATTCTTTCTCGGCTGTGACAAAAGGACCAGGGTTTATACCCCAGACAACGAAGCTGTTTCACTTATATTTTCCTTATATTGGCAATATTTGATTTCTATAATTTAAAAATTATCAGTTGTCCTGGTTAAATAAAAATTGCAGTACATAAAATGATTTTGATATAGAGATTAACATTAAGAAATGATTTCTGAAACATGGAAGTATATCACTGCATCCATTCATTCATTAATCCATTCTTTTGACAAACATTTGTTGTGCCTGTACAGCCCTGTGTGATAGAATTGTAAATCTCTACATGGCTCATCAAAGTTAAAATTGGAGGCTGGGAAACAATAGTAAAGAAAGAATTCAAAATGATCATTTGACCACATTAATTTGCTGCCACAGATTAAAATCAATGAATGAAAGCATTTTACACATTAGAGAAAAATATCCAGCCATTCAGTTGGATGGTGTGGGTGATAATAATCGTCTTCATTCTGTTTCTGTGAGTGCACGCCTAGCATGCGTTTATCACAACTAATCCTTATGAGCTATAGGCTGTGTTATCTATCACTTTCTATATGTATGTCAAACATTAAATGTATTTGAAAATTCAAAATTTAATTTAGCAATGTAATTCTAGTCTACGTCCTTAAAAAGAAGATGAATCAAGACAGAGACAGAGATTACTAAACAACCACATGGGATTATATAAGTGATCAAATATGTATTTTGAAATTAGAAGAAGAAATGATTGTTTAATAACTGAAAGTTTCTGCAGACCTGACCTGACTACTTTCTTTAAAAAAAAAATACCTATTCCAAGCATGAGTATCTGTTTGGTTTTTAAAGCCTAGCATTGGTTTCTTTTACCATGTAAACAACACTATAAAATCCCTGATGATTTTTTTTAAGTGTCTTCCAAATTACAGGGAAATAGATGAAAACATACCTGGGCTTTGTAATTCAATTACTGAATTGGTTTGGATTTTGTTTGTTTCACAGGGATCGCATAAGTTGGTGTCACTCTGAGAATAATGGGGTTGTGATCAGAAGGAACTGTGTAAAATGCTTTGCCTCTTGAGTACTCTGAGGCCAATGGAATGACTTGGGGCACGAAGAAAAGGTTAATCACACTACTTAGGATGGAGAGAGCCACACATACAGTAAGTTTTAGGAAGAATTCCATAAAAATTGCATGAAATGAAGAGTGTTGATGCTTAAAGGAAATGTATTCAGGTGGATGGGTCCCTCCCTGTTAGAGCTGAATAAATGGGGCAGGGAAGAGGTGTGTAAAAACTGACTTTCCTCAGATGTATCTGGAATTGAGCCCACCTCATTTGCAAACCCCTTCTGAAAAAATTGCCCAAATATCTGGAGTCAAAAGGACTGTCAGAAGGGGAGATGGCACAATTGACAAATACGCAGTGGTGGCTGCAGTGTTGGCAGAGTGAAGGGGTGGGAGACTGCTACCCATTGAAAATGCCTACATTCTTAGGTTTACCACAGTTGTGTCAGAAAGGCTCCTTTCTAGACTGCCCTGACCAATAACTTAGCTACTGGCCACAACAAATGGCTCAAACTTTTTTTTTTTTTTGAGACAGAGTCTTGCCCTGTCACCCAGGCTGGAATGCAGTGGCACGATCTCAGCTCACTGCAATCTCCGCCTCCCGGGTTCAAGCAATTCTCCAGCCTCAGCCTCCCAAGTAGCACGCGGTACCACGCCTGGCTAATTTTATATTTTTAGTAAAGATGGGGTTTCACCATGTTGGACAGGCTGGTCTCGAACTCCCAACCTCAGGTGATCTGCCCGCCTTGGCCTCCCAAAGTGCTGGGATTACAGCTGTGAGATGCCACACCTGGCCTCCAATATTCTAAAATATCTGAACACCTAAAATACCATTACACTTGGGTTCCTCTGCGGCACACGCTGTGTGTCCACTGGTCATGGTCAGGTGCGGCCAGCAGCTACCACGCTGGCCTGCCTAAGCGTGGAACATCTTCCTCATCATGACGGCTGTGCTGGCAGCGCTGTCTAGGACATGTCCTGCATGAAGAGGCCATGTCTGGACATAGTTCCCTGAGTGTTCTAACACAGCACATGAAGCAGAGGACTCTGATCATGAAGGTCCTTCAGGTCTTCAAGGTGTTGAGTTAGCCAACCTCGTGGAGGAGATTTTGGACCAAAGCATTTTACTGGAAAGAAGCTCGTGTGAATGAGATGAAAGAAACTGCTCCACAATCTACACTTCCCATGGCTTTGAGGAATCGCAAATGTGAATCCATCATCGCTTTAAACACATGTTTAATTATCCTTCTACACCTGGAATTCTGGACACCACTTCTGAATTCAATGCTTGAAAGTCATTTGCAAACCAAACGGGAATTTGAAAATTAGCATTCCATCGTATAAGGCACAAATACGTAATCAAGATAAAATATCCCTTGAATGGCAAGCATTGCCATTCTATTTGAATGTAACAGCCACACTTGCATTCATTGCACTCTCTTAATTAGAACTTCAAGGATGATAGCATAAAAGGAATTACAGTCATCAAGCCCATGACTGTCTGAATGAGAGAATGAATATTGGACAAACTAAACTTTCAAGGCAAAAGATTCAACATAGAGGATCAAAGCCATTTTGACACTTTAATTAATGCTAGTCACAAAACAGAAGAATAAATCAGACAGGACACAGAAGTCACAACCCACAAGCATACACACAATGGTTTTCCTGAAGTTACAAGAAATTATGTGGGCCCCACAAGTTCTGGGGCAACGTTGATAGGTTAGCAGCAAAGATGTCTATTTTGAATGTGTTAATTAGCAAGAAATTATAGTCTCACCAGCATTTAACATGTAGACAGTAAAATGAAGTGATGTCAGCTGCTCTGCTGTTCGAGACACTTCCTGTTTCCATTGAAAAGGTTTGAACATCACATCACACGGCGAGAACTTGTATTTTCTGAAGAACACTGAGAATGAATCAACGTTTAGTGAACGGAAGAGTCACATGTTTCTAAGTATAGAATTTTGAATGTTCAAAGGGCCAGGTAACAAAACTAAAGGATAACCCAGAAAAGGAATGCATCATCAGTGATGGCGCACACTGACTTTTAGGATGATTTGACATCAACACACACAAAAAACAGAAACATATCAGCAACATAGTTTGGCTCCTTCCCAATCCAATTGATAAGTAGGACACAATTATGTTCCAATTCTTTTTTTTTTTTTTTTTTTTGAGATGGAGTTTCACTCTTGTCACCCAGGCTGGAGTGCAATGGCATGATCGCAGCTCACTGCAACCTCCGCCTCCTGGGTTCAAGTAATTCTCCTGCCTCAGTCTCCCGAGTAGCTGGGAGTACAGGCGCTTGCCACCATGCCTGGCTAATTTTGTATCTTTAGTAGAGATGGGGTTTCACCATGTTGGCCAGGGTGGTCTCGAACTCCCAACCTCAGGTGATCCACCCGCCTCTGCCTCCCAAAGTGCTGAGATTACAGGCGTGAGCCACCATGCCCGGCCATGTTCCAATTCTTTAAGAATGCAAAGCTTCTTAGATGAAAACATGTTTGAAAGGAATAATTTTTCCAGTGGAAAAATGAAAAGACCAAGAACTGGAGGATGCTGGTGGGCCTGTTTTTTGAGATGCTGTGAACTGTACAGGAGGTAGCATTTGTTACACATCTTCACAGTCAGTGTGTCTCTCCATGTGTGCATGTGTGTACACGGGACACCTAATTGTGAATGACATCTATACTGAAGTTGTATCAGAATGAAATCTTTACTACCAAGATTTCAAGGGAGGGCTAATTCTGTAGGTGGTATTTTATTTGATGATGAGAGTTTATTTTTACCATGCACATGGCAAATAGTGAGTGCGCAGACATTGATCCGTCAACTAACATACCTGAAGTTACTAATGTCTCTCTTTCTAAGGATAAGGAAGTGACCTTCAATTAAAAAATTAATAAAACAATAAAGCAAAGGCAACTGACAAGAGTTAAGACCGTGTTACCTCTGACTTACACCTCAGAGTCAAATGAATATATCCTAAATCATGTCAACGTCTCCCATAAAGCTTGATCAGAAGGTTGGAAGGTCCCAAACCCACACTATGGATGTCATAATCTCAATCTTAAGGTGACCCTAATGGAAAAGGAAATACAGGAGTCCGCCCCTGCAGTTCACAGCCCAAGCAAATACAGGAATCCACCCCTGCAATTTACAGCCCAAACATCCTGACTTGCCCTCTGCCCACGGATCTGAGAGACGGACCCATCAGAGGGCTGCCGTTGGTCCTGCCAATAAATCAGGGCTCCTTGCACTGAAGTTGCTCTGTGAACCTCCAGAGCCTATGTGGATCAGTAAGCATCAGTTTGAGCTAGCTGAGCATGAACGACACCTGTGGGGCCAGGAAGCCGGCAGCCTTGAGAGCAGTGAGGGTGTGGGATGGCCACGGGATACCCGGGCTCGGTTCTGGCCCCGCCACAGGAAGCCCTATGACCCCAGGCACCTGCAGCCTCCCAGTGAGCGGGGTGAGGATTGTCGGCTCCCTACCCCACCCGCAGGGCCAGCACCAAGAACCAATGCAATGCCAGTGTCTCCAGGCACCAAGAACCAACGTGCTGCCCGTGTCTCCAGGCCTGGCAGCATCTGCGTGGTGAGGATTGTCGGCTCCCTACCCCACCCACAGGGCCAGCACTAAGAACCAACGCGATGCCACAGTATCTCCAGGCCTGGCAGCAACTGGGCACTCCTTCTTCATCCTAATCGTCGAAATAGATGTGTTTCAAATCCCCCATTTACAGTGGTACCCTGAAAATGAAGAGCTTCTAACAAAATAGAGAAAGGCCCATGACAGTCCTCTGGGTCACCAGGAAATTGAGACTCTCATGGGCCCAAGGCAAAGGGCATATGGACCGGAGAGGCTGGCAAGATAATTGCACAATGAGTCATCTGTGGCACAGCCTTGAGATACGAACGCTGATGGGATGATACATAGACCAAGGAGGCAATTTACTTTGCTTTTCAGAAACTGCTCATAACATTTTGGTTCTCCAGCTGGTCTCATTACTGTCTGTCTCGCATGTTATTCTTTATTTTAAAATAAAGATCTGACCTTGACTTCAAGAATGACAGAAACAGACGATGCAAATTCCATAAGGAATGAAAATAAGTTTTACATAAGTGCACAGAAAGGACTGATTCATCCATGTACATGTCCCCAAAAATCTACGGACCGCCTACCACTTCCTAGGTGTCGTTGACCTGACAGAGGGTTTTATTCTCTACCTTGTCTCTGCTCTCCTGGAAACTCAGAAATATCACTCACAAGACCAGGGTTAGTTGCAAGTGGGCAGGAGTGCTAAGGTAGTAGTTCACACAGAGAGAGAATCCTTCTTATTCATTCATTTGTTCCTTTTTTTCACTAAATAAATCAACAAACATTTCTATCTACTATGTGCCAAGCACTGTTCTAGGCACGGGAATTCAGCAGCGAGGAAAACCCGGCCCCTGTGGAACTTATATTCTAGCCAGGGGAGAGACTCACAATGAATGGAACGGATTACTAAAATATACATAACAGGATGAGGAACGTGGTGGGCTCACACACACTCCAGGAGGAATGTCATTAGCATCTTCACGTGAGAACCTCGGTGTGCGTAAAACCCAATCTCCTTTGCTGCCTACACCAAGGGTCTAATGTAATAGTTCCTTAGCACCAGGTTTATGGAATCATTTAGGAAAGAAACACAAATATCTCTTAATTCTACACCTGCATGTTAAAGAGTGTATGACCAGAAAAAAACCAACTTAATTCTCAAGGAAAAAGAGAAAGCCTCACTGGGCAAGTGGGGCTTGCAGAAACGAGCTGTGTAGGTGCCTGGGGCAGGCTGCCTGCCCAGCCCGGCTCCGACGAGGCTCTGAATGCTGCCTCATGCAAAGGCTGGCTGGCGCTGAGGAATGTCTGACCAGAGGTGCAGGCGGGGCTTGCCTCGGGTGGTCACACACAAGACTGTGTCCCTCCATCACTTCGTTTTTTTTTAACTTTTCAAATTTACTTCTGATGAGCACATACCCAGATGGAAAATACAATCAGAAGGATTTTTGCTGCCTGGCAGTTGCCTTGTAAGTCAGACATCTTCCCCTGTTATTTCACATGGGGAGGGCTACACAGCCCGTGGTGGTTCTGTGAACGCAGAGAACGGAGCTAGGGGCTTAAGCCGTTGGAGCTGTGGGCCAGGCAGGAGCCCGGCAGGAGTGGGGTGGTCATGGCAGGGCATATTCCAGAAGGGATGGACGCCCCAGCCGCCATGTGCTGGAGCTATGCCCGCTGCCCCTGCTTTAGAGAAGCAGCTCAGTTGAGGATCTCAGCCTATGTTGTATGCCAGGAACTTCCAGTCTCTTGGTGATGGGGGAGGTAACTAGGGGAGCTGGATCCCTCACCAGCAGCTGGTGCCACAGCAGAGAGCTGCTCTCTGCAGGAACCTCGGGATTTGGAACTTCCAAGTGGACGTGACCATGGCTGCTGACGGGGCCAGCGCTTCATTCGGTTGGGCTCAGGGCACCCTGTGAAGAAGGGCCACACAGAACACACAGAATCTGGTGGGTCAACATTTCCAGCCACATATGTGTGTGGCTCTTGCTTCAGTCCTGGCCCTTCTGCTGTGAGGCAGAGGTGGGGAGGAAGAAATACGGTATCTGAGTGTTTGCAAAGAATTGGTAAACCTGTTTATCTTCAGAATGTGGACGCTGGATGGTACGTTTGAGAAAGTGCATACACGTATCTGTTAGCACAGTTCCCCATATTATTCCCCATGTAATCCCAAAATTCCGCTGAGCAGGGGTTTTCTTGGTGGTAGATGCTGGAGGCAGACATGAGAAGCAGCAGCAATGGCAGGAATGTCCGTACCGTCCTCCCATCTCTGCTCCAGCAACTGTCACCCAAGCTTCTGTCTCTACTCTCCTCCCATCTCTGCTCCAGCAACTGTCACCCAAGCTTCTGTGTCTACTCTCCTCCCATCTCTGCTCCAGCAACTGTCACCCAAGCTTCTGTGTCTACTCTCCTCCCACCTCTGCTCCAGCAACTGCCACCCAAGCTTCTGTGTCTACTCTCCTCCCACCTCTGCTCCAGCAACTGTCACCCAAGCTTCTGTGTCTACTCTCCTCCCATCTCTGCTCCAGCAACTGTCACCCAAGCTTCTGTCTTCTTGGTCAAGAAATGCAGATGCAGATTCTGAGGATCTTTTGAAAAGCACCCAGTATCTTTTTCTGGAATAGCCGAAGAGGACAAATAATTCATTTCTGTTAAGCGCCATCTGCCAGATAACACGGGTGTTTTAGAATACCCTCACAGATAAAACCTCCGTTTTATCGCACACACAGAATAAGCGTGTGAGAGACCACTCCTGTGCCTTATAATTACATCAAGATCTAAGCTTATGCTGTCAATATTTAGAAGAGACAGCAATTTTGACTATTTTATGAATCATAGGACAGTTTATAATCATCCAACACTGATAAGAAGAAGGGACAAAAGTTTTTGAACATGATTATCTCTTCATGTATATGGAGCTTCTAAATCTATTTCCAATTCTGTTTCCTTTCCTTTTATAAAGTACCTCTCCATTATCTTATACACATCAGGTACTAAATACATATTTGTGAGTTTGTTCAATTGATTGTGTAATTGATCGAAATGGTTATAAAGTAATGACCTGCTGTAAACCAATAAATGGATACCAGAAATACTCGTTTTTATTACAGAAAGAGAGTAGGAGCATATCCTGCCACTGAAAGACTTGGAAATGTAACCTGCCCGCATATTTAAGGTGTGGGGCTTTTTCTCCAGAAATTCCATGAATCTGCAGTTGCCTATGTCAACCATGATCTTTCAGCTGCCTTAGCTAATGAATCTTTTTCTTTTTCTTTATCTTCCTTGTACTCATGGTAACATTTGATATGATCCATCATTCCATTCTTTATTTCTTTCCTTCCTGGCTTCCAAAACCAAATAAATAAATAAATAGAGATACAAATATTCCCCATGATGAATCCACTGGGATTTTCAAAGCTTTCCCATGACTTACGTTTAAAAAGCACAGCACGATCCTCTATCTTAATACCTATGTTAGGATGAAATAAATCCAATATAATTAAATATTTTAGAAAGGAGTATTTTTCCTACCTTCATAGATATTTCCTTCCTATATAACTATTTCCTTACTATATTTTGTTGCCACCTTCTATGTCATTGGAAAATATCAGTAGTGATACAGATCTCACCATCCAAGTACCTAAAACCATAGACCAAACTTGCCAGTTAAATTTCTAGCACTCTGCATTTTTGGTGTTTGAAAAAGGGTTCAAAGATTAATTCAGAGTAATCATTCTCATTTAATCTCTTGCTTTAATTTTGGGAACATTAAAATGGCCTAAATAAATTCTGTTTAGCCCAACACCACTGCTGAGAATATAAATAGCAATGACTAGACACTGGGTGTTGAGTGTTCTGGTAGCTTTGAAGAAGCAAAAAGAATTTAGACACTGGGTATTGAGTGTTCTGGTAGCTTTGAAGAAACAAAAAGAATTTACTGGTTGGGTTTTTGCTTCAGTTTAAAAATATTTTTGATATATAGCATTGGCTTTTGGACATCTTAAGCTTTAGGTAAAGGCAGTTATTCAAATTCAATGTATACACCTGGATAATTTTTACTTTTCTGGAGAATAAAGTTAAATTTTGAAGCATCACAGGCAATGATTTTTTGGGCCCCTCCGGACCTCTCCCCAGACATGTGTTCAGACGCCATCCAAGGATGACCTCGTGGTGGCTGCCGATCTGGGAAACGCCTGCACTCCACTCACGTTGCAGAATAAACCTTTGTGATAGGATTTGTAGGTTTTCCCCACAATTCTTCCCATTTCAAGTGAGATCAGCGGTTCTTCTTTTCAGAGATTTCTATGGGAGGAAGCCAACCCCACGATATCCTCTCCATTGGCAAAGATCACCATGACTTTCACAAAAGCCTGTACTCAGTAGAGACATGACTGAGGGGACCAGGGGCTCAGGGAGAGGAGGAAAGAGGCCGGAAGCTGGGAATGATGACAGCCAGAGAAGGGGACCTGCGGGTCTCTGAGCAGCTGCAGAACACGGCCCCTGTCCTGATCATGCCCCAGGGAAGGTCTGCAGACTTGAGCGAATCCTTCATGCAGAAGGGGACCTGGGGATCTCATAACAGCCGGAGGGGACCAATGAGGGGACCAATGGCCTATGACCAGGAGGCTTCCCAGATGCCTCCAAACCTCCTGGGAGTCCTGGTTTTGGTATTGCCTTGGGTTTAACCTGAAATGACAGAGGCTGAATTTCACAGTACACCACGCAGGAGGGGTGGGAACTTAGAATGGAAGTTGATTTAAAAAAAAATGTTATTTCTTGCACATGTCGGTTATAGATAATTGAATCATGTCCACATAGAACATCTGATAAGGATGCATGGGTGCCCCTGAGTAAGTATTGTCCTCAGAAAGGAACTCTACAGAAAAAGGCTCAAGTCGATGCCAAGGCTAACAGCCGAGCACAGTGGAGTTTATAACTTAAACGTCAGAGTCCTCTAAGTTAGGACAAACTCTCAATAGAAAAGGAATTAAAGAGCTTATCAACTGTAAATTTTCAAATCACTCACTCATACGTTGAACCAATATTTATTGAGCCTGGTGTGGCACGGTACACGCACGGGTTAATTTAAACTCATCTGGCTTATCGCCACAGGCCTTGGGCATGGCAGTGACATGAAATGTGGAAGAGATGACCGACGTCTGTGACCGTGGGTTTGTGGATTGTCTGGGGGCAGGATGAGGGATTCGTGCCTTTATAAAGGGATCCTAGGGAACTTCCTCACGCTTTTTCCACCATGTGAGGACGCAGGGAAAAGCTGCTGCCTATGAACAAGGAGGCTGCCCACACTGGACACCCTGACCCCAGACTTCCAGCCTCCATAACTGTGAGAGATAAATCTCTGGGGTTCATAAGCCAGGCAGGCTATGACGCTTCCTTATAGCAGCCGGCATGCAATGAGACAGAGACCCGGCAGGGGACTGGCAGCTCCTGCAGCCTCAAGCGTGGGGAGGGTGGTGTTTCCAGACCATTGCAAGAACTCTTCAGTGATGATAAGCTATCTTGATATTGTTAGCATGAATCTCATAGGAATGTGTTCTGCTGTCTGCATTCATAATGGAAGGAAATTGTAAATTCAAGTTAGTGAAAGTTAGTGAAGATAAAGATGCACTTTTTTTTTTTTTTTTTTTTTTTTTTTTTTTTTTTTTTTAGAGACAGAGTCTCTCTCTGTCTCCCAGGCTGGAGTGCAGTGGCGCGATCTCGGCTCACTGCAAGCTCTGCCTCCCGGGTTCACTCCATTCTCCTGCCTCAGCCTCCTGAGTAGCTGGGACTACAGGCACCCACCACGACGCCTGGCTAATTTTTTGTGTTTTGTTTAGTAGAGATGGGGTTTCACCGTGTTAGCCAGGATAAAGACACACTTTTTATCCCATCTAACTGTGAGCAGCCCTGAATTCATGAATACCTTACGCTAGGGTTCCCTTGGGGTCATGGACTCTAGCTTGGAGACTTCAGTTCCAGATCCAGCAACCAGCTGGGGGACTGTCTGCACTAGTCTCACTGCAGTGTCCTGCTGGAAATTCACAGAGGACTCTGTCCCTGGAACCATCAGTCCACAGGCCTTCAATGGTGGTGGCCTCCATGCCCCGGCACCGCTGTCAGATGAGCCAAAGCCTGAGCCCTGTGTCTGCTGAAGTCCTGGATCCTCCTCCACTGTCTGCTCACCTCTGCCTCTGCCCTGTGCCCTGGCCTTTCCGACGCTTCTCTGGCCTTTCCATCACTTCTCTGTGGTGACAGACGCTGATTAGAAGAAGGGACAAAAGTTTTCGACGCTGGCTTTCCAAGCCCACCTGGGTTCTCCTTTCCAGAGGGGATTTTGATCCGTTTGCCCTCTGGCCCCCTTCACTCCTGACACACCAGCCTAACTAGTGACCTGTCCCAGCAGTGCCAGCCTCGACCTGTCAGCAGAGACTGTGCCTCTGACACCTGTTTTCAAACAGCACATTGACACTGAGACAGCGGCCTTTATTTTAATGAACATTCCCCCAACACAGCTACAAGGACTGAAGTTTCTGACCTAGCTTTTTAATTTTCAAATTGTTTTCCAGTGTGAAGAGCTGATGGTGAGAATTCTCTTAGTAAATTCTCTGATCATTTTAAATACAGAACCTGAAAAAATACCCTTTAAGGGTATGATATTAGTTGGGGCTTTTCAGAGAAACAGAATTAATGGAACATGGGTGGGATGGATGGACAGACGATAGAGATATAGATGAACACATATAGAGAGAGATGGTAAGGAAGAGACAGACAATAGAGACACAGGTGAATACTACAGAGAAAGAGGATAAGGAATTGGCTCCTGTCGTCAATGAGGCTGACGAGTTCCGAGATCTGCAGGGAGAGTGGCAAGCTGGAGATCTGGGCGGGCTCATGGTGCAAGTCGCAGTTCAAAGGCAGGAGGAATTCCCTCTCTCTATGGAAGAGTCAGCTGTTTTGTTTCTTCCACTAGATAGGACGTGGCCCACCCACACTGGGGAAAGCATCTGCTTCACCCCGTCCACCCCTCCAAATGCTAACCTCATCCAGAGTCACCCTCTCAGACACACCCACAATAATGTTTAACCAGATATCTGGGCACTCCATGGCCCAGTCAAGTTGCCACATGAACTCCACCATCACACTATCATACAGAGAACTGTGCGGCATTATTCGGCCTCCACCACCAATGGCAAACATCACCTAACCATTCGCAAACTGAACGGGAAAGACAAGGCTGGAATATGACGTGTTGGGAGCAAGACGTCCACTCCCCTTTCATTTCCATGTGATGCTTCACAGGAAAAAGATCTTTTTAAGGTTAACTCTCTGGGATCTAGGAATACCTATCAGGAAGCAATTTTGTTTAAGTCCAAAAATATCCTATTAAATCATGTCAATGACTCTTGAAACCCATGAAGCAAAGGAAGAAAATTTCAAGTTATAAAAGTAGCAAATAAATTACAACCTTTTAAGGTAATACATAGTACCTGTAAGATTATTGTCTGGATAATCAACCAACACAAATGTATATATAGGACTTCATGATCACATTTTAAATATTTCAAATGTGACTCCATATAATCCATATTTTGCATCATTACAGGGAAAAAATAAATATACAGATGCTCCTCAACTTGCAATGGGATTATGTCCCCACAAACCCATCATACACTAAAAACATCGTAAGTGGGAAACACGTTTAATACATTTAACCCACCAAACATCGTAACTTAGCCCAGCCTACTCCTAATAAGCTCATAACACTGACACTGGCCTGCAGTTGGCCAACATCGTCTCACTTAATGCCTGTTTTATAATGTGTTGACTATCTCCTCGAATTCATGGAACACTGTACTGAAGGTGAAAAACAGAATGGTTGTGTGGGCACTCAGAGTATGGTTTCTACAGAATGTGGATGATTTTCACGCTATTATAAGGTTAAAAAATTGTAAGTCCAACCATCTTTAAGTCAAAGGTGGTCTGTACTGATGTTGAATGATTCTGTTTCATTCATTCATTCATCTGATTCATTCATTTGATTCATTCATTTGATTCATTCATTAGAGACATGGTCTTGCTGTCACCCAGGCTAGAGTGCTGTGGTGCCATCAGAGCTCTCTCTAACCTTGAATGCCTGGCCTTAAGTGACCCTTCCAAAGTGCTGGCACTACAGGCGTGAGCCACTGTGCCCAGCAAGTAATTTCATTTAAAAGCATCACTCTAGTTTTTTTTCCCTAAGAGAGCAAAAGTATTTTTTTCTCAATGTTTTCAGAATATTTTTAATTTTATGAATCTAAATAATTTGTTTTTAATGTAATGCTTTTTAGACGAACATCCTGTTAGAGTAAAAGCCATGGTGTCACTACATTTTAAATATATTCCTGAGACAATGTAATGGCATACAAATAATAAACATAATTCTCTGCCATGGCCTAGATATTTTGGCATCTAATGTTTTTATGTCTTTAAAAGATAAGTACATTTTAAATGTACATCGAGATTCTGTTTGTTTCAGTAAATGTGCTATGTGGCTGGAGCTCCTGGTCAGGGAGTGGGAAGGAGCAGAAGCCGTGCTTCGTGCAGACGCTGATCAGATCAGGAGCGCGTCTCTGCCGCTTCCTTGAAGAAATGATTCCTGAGCTGGGGCTTAAAGCACAGCTAGGACTCAGGCAGAAACTCAAGGAAGAAACTGCGGGCCGACGAGCAGCAGCCGTAGAGGCATGGAGGTGCGAGAATTTCAGGAAGACTGGCTGGGAGCGGGTGGGAGCGAGAGGGCAGCTGGGCCGTCTGGTGGGGCCGGGTCACTGGGGTTTGCAACCCCACAGAGGACGGCAGTCTTCACTCCTCTGGCTCTTGCACAGAGCCGAGACGAGGCTCTTGGTCGGGCGGGCTTAGGGTCAGGCTGCCTTTTTCGCAAGAATGTCCTGCAGGCAGGATGGAGAGTGGGTGGGAAGTCCTGCCAGGCCCCTGGAGGCTGAGGAGGCACCCAGGTGAGCACTTAAAATGGTTTCAGCCCCGAGGGGTGACACAGGTGAGGACCGGCGGGTTGGAGGGTGACACAGGTGAGGACCGGCGGGGTCGAGGGTGACACAGGTGAGGACCGGCGGGGTCGAGGGTGACACAGGTGAGGGCCGGCGGGTTGGAGGGTGACACAGGTGAGGGCCGGCGGGTTGGAGGGTGACACAGGTGAGGGCCGGCGGGTTGGAGGGTGACACAGGTGAGGGCCGGCGGGGTCGAGGGTGACACAGGTGAGGGCCGGCGGGTTGGAGGGTGACACAGGTGAGGACCGGCGGGGTCGAGGGTGACACAGGTGAGGACCGGCGGGGTCGAGGGTGACACAGGTGAGGGCCGGCGGGTTGGAGGGTGACACAGGTGAGGACCGGCGGGGTCGAGGGTGACACAGGTGAGGACCGGCGGGTTGGAGGGTGACACAGGTGAGGACCGGCGGGGTCGAGGGTGACACAGGTGAGGGCCGGCGGGTTGGAGGGTGACACAGGTGAGGGCCGGCGGGTTGGAGGGTGACACAGGTGAGGACCGGCGGGTTCGAGGGTGACACAGGTGAGGACCGGCGGGGTCGAGGGTGACACAGGTGAGGACCGGCGGGTTCCAGGGTGACACAGGTGAGGACCAGCGGGGTCGAGGGTGACACAGGTGAGGGCCGGCGGGGTCGAGGGTGACACAGGTGAGGGCCGGCGGGGTCGAGGGTGACACAGGTGAGGGCCGGCGGGTTGGAGGGTGACACAGGTGGGGGCCGGCGGGTTCGAGGGTGACACAGGTGAGGACCGGCGGGTTGGAGGGTGACACAGGTGAGGGCCGGCGGGTTCGAGGGGTGACACAGGTGAGGACCGGCGGGGTCGAGGGTGACACAGGTGAGGACCGGCGGGGTCGAGGGTGACACAGGTGAGGACCGGCGGGTTCCAGGGTGACACAGGTGAGGACCGGCGGGTTCCAGGGTGACACAGGTGAGGACCGGCGGGTTCCAGGGTGACACAGGTGAGGGCCGGCGGGTTGGAGGGTGACACAGGTGAGGGCCGGCGGGTTGGAGGGTGACACAGGTGAGGACCGGCGGGGTCGAGGGTGACACAGGTGAGGACCGGCGGGGTCGAGGGTGACACAGGTGAGGGCCGGCGGGTTCCAGGGTGACACAGGTGAGGACCGGCGGGTTCGAGGGTGACACAGGTGAGGACCGGCGGGTTCCAGGGTGACACAGGTGAGGGCCGGCGGGTTGGAGGGTGACACAGGTGAGGGCCGGCGGGTTGGAGGGTGACACAGGTGAGGACCGGCGGGGTCGAGGGTGACACAGGTGGGGACCGGCGGGGTCGAGGGTGACACAGGTGAGGACCGGCGGGGTCGAGGGTGACACAGGTGAGGGCCGGCGGGGTCGAGGGTGACACAGGTGAGGGCCGGCGGGTTGGAGGGTGACACAGGTGAGGGCCGGCGGGTTGGAGGGTGACACAGGTGGGGGCCGGCGGGTTGGAGGGTGACACAGGTGAGGGCCGGCGGGTTGGAGGGTGACACAGGTGAGGGCCGGCGGGGTGGAGGGTGACACAGGTGAGGGCCGGCGGGTTGGAGGGTGACACAGGTGAGGGCCGGCGGGTTGGAGGGTGACACAGGTGGGGGCCGGCGGGTTGGAGGGTGACACAGGTGAGGGCCGGCGGGTTGGAGGGTGACACAGGTGAGGGCCGGCGGGTTCGAGGGTGACACAGGTGAGGGCCGGCGGGTTGGAGGGTGACACAGGTGAGGGCCGGCGGGTCGGAGGGTGACACAGGTGAGGACCGGCGGGTCGGAGGGTGACACAGGTGAGGACCGGCGGGGTCGAGGGTGACACAGGTGAGGACCGGCGGGGTCGAGGGTGACACAGGTGAGGGCTGGCGGGTTGGAGGGTGACACAGGTGAGGACCGGCGGGGTCGAGGGTGACACAGGTGGGGGCCGGCGGGTTGGAGGGTGACACAGGTGAGGACCGGCGGGTTCGAGGGGTATGGGAGGCAGATTCAACAGTACTTCCATCTCCACAATATCTGAAAACCTGAAATGACTAATTTATTCACCTACTGACTTATGCAAGCATCAATTATTTATTTCAGCCATTACTTTTCTGGGTGATAAGATGTTAAATGACCAATTAGGAATCCTTTCTTACAGTAACTGTTACTCTTAGGACAACAATGTGGAAGTCCTCACTGGACTTCTGACTCCATCCCCATACACATGTCCCTCCAAATGTACCCCTACTTCAGGGAAGAGACAGAGCCATAGGACAGACGCAGATCGTTGTCAACTGCAAGAGCCCTGGACTATGAGTCAGGAACCCGTGGCTCTAGTTTCATTCGTATTATGATTAATTCGTCTAGACAAGTTCACTTGTTCAATGACAGCTTCATCTTGAAATCTCATTACCTGGGAGATCATCCCAGCATTCATGTTGTAATTCCAGTCTAAGTACGCAGACAGGAGGATTTTATAAGAGAAGGACACAAATTACTTGAAAACGGTGGTTTTGAAGGGAAGAGCAGGCTACACACTTGGGGAAAATCTTTATGAACACATTTGTTCTCACCCGAGCAATTCTGGCTTACATATGCAGTTCCTGATACAGATGCACGATTTATCTGCATCACGCTCGCCTTCTGCAAACCGGGAGGCACGTGATTCGTCTGTCATGTCTGTTCTAGACAGAGGTGTCAAGTATTTAACCTTTGGAAACCCTTACTGGGAGCTGGTTCCACTCCTTCTCTACAGCACAGACCAGGGGCTCCTGTCCTAACTCCGACACCCGACCCTTACCCGTGTCTCCCAGGGCTTCTCCTTCCCCACAGCCAGGAGAGCTTGGGTCTCCCTCCTCTCCGCAGAGACTGTGCTCTGCCACGGCTTCTCCCTACCGGTCCCCAGGGCCAACCGGCTTTCATCCACTCATCCTATAGGCTTAGCGCACAACGGATAAAGTACATAAGGCTTTGGCTGTAGTTCAAATAAATCAAAGACAATGAAAATCACAAAGATTAGTTTTCATCTTTTAGGTATCTGGACTGCATTTCGTCATTTACTGTAAAACACAAGTCTAGATGCGGGGGGGCGGGCCACGTGAGACTTCCACCTGTGCCTGTTTTTAGCGTTTGACGGTCTTGGTGCTGTGCTCAGGCCCGTAATGGGGTCTCATGCCCGAGTCCCGGGTACAAGCCTCTGAACCCGGGACACAGGGATGGCGTCTTCATGATGCACACCCTGGGCTTTAGTTTGCAACATGGAGCTTTGCTGAAGGATTCTTGGGGCTTCATGGAAGCCATGGTGGTTGGCAGTTTCTGAGACGTTCTAATGGGGATCATGACAATCAGAGACATCCTGAGCGGCTGGGAAGACGTTCAGATTCCCTGGGACATCTCGGACCGACTCCCGCACGATATCGTTGTTGCCAGGTTTCTGGCATTTGGACTACGCTGTGCTGCGGGGTTGGAGACGTGATGTCAGCAGCAGGTCTGACACTGAGGACCCATGGGACAGCACGCCTGGGCTTCCCTTCAGCAGCAGGTCTGACACTGAGGACCCACGGGGCAGCACACCTGGGCTTCCCAGGGTGAACTCTGAGCCTGCACACAGCGTCCATCAGCCCGAGCCAGATTTGGCTCCTCTTCATCAGGATCAACCTGGATTTACGACAAGGATTTGTGTAATACTCCTAGAAGAGAAATGGGTTCCCCTTGGGTCAGTGCCTGAAGGATGTCACCATTTATACTGGGCTCGGTTTCAGAGAAGACCTCATTCATTCATGCACTCTACCAGTATTTACCGAAACCTACTATGGTAAACAGAATAACGCCCCTCCAAAAATGTCCGCATCCTAGTCCCCAGAACCTGTGACCATGGTACTTTATGTGGCAAAAGGGACTTTGCAGATGTGAGTAAATTCAGGATTTTGAGATGGGGAGATGATCCTGGATCATCCCAGTGGGCCCAGTGTTATCCCCAGGGTCCTTACATGAGGAAGGGAGGGGGTCAGAGTCAGACGAGGAGGCTTGGACAATGGAGGCCCAGGCTGGAGCCATGTGGCCCGCAGCCAAGGACGGCAGAGAACTCCAGAAGCTTGAGGAGGCAAGGAGCGGGCTCCCCGGAAGCCTCCAGAACGACCTGATGTTTGACGCTAGCCCCACAGAACCTACTTTAGACTTCTAACCTCTGTGACTGTGAGACGGCACATCTGTGCTGCTGGAGACCATAGGGCTTGTGACCATTTTTACAGCTGCAAATATGAGACAAACACACCTGCTTTGTAGGGGTTCCTCAGTCCAGGCCCGTCTCTGGGAGGACCCACAGGGGTCTCCGCTGTGCTGAATTTGTGCAGGGCTTATGGACACCAGGAACCTGGGCTTACCCTGGGTCGGGGGTGGCACAGGACCCCTGCTGCTCCGCATAGAGGGGCTGCACAATTCAGGCCTCGCAGCAGCCTTCCAGGACTCTGCCCACACTGCCAAGACCCAGGGACAGCCTCTGTTCCCACTGTGGTGAACTGGGGCAGTGTTGAACTCCCCTCCGTGGCCCCTCCCCATCCCTCCTGGCTCCCACCTTTCCACTGCTCCTTCTGGAGGCCCCTTCTCCCCACGATGCTGACGCTGTGGGCTCTGGTCTCAGGCCTCTTCTCTTTCTATACCCTCCTGTTCGGGGGTGGCTCCATGGCTCTGGACCGCACCTCCAGCCTCGACCTCCACACCTCTTCTTGAAGTTGGGTTAGCAAGTCATGGGACCCTCAGCTCAACACATCTGAACTACTCGGCACCTGTGGGCTGGGCCCTGTTGGCTTCGGCTGCTGAGAGGCAGCAGCTGGAGAGGGCTGTTGGGCACTTCATCCCAATCCATCCCGGCTCCCCGGTTGTACTGGCCATCCCTTCTTTTACCTGCACTCCATGACCCAGCTCTCTGGGCTGCAACAGCATCACCTCCATCCTGTTGCTTCAGCAGGAGGAGACAACGGCACAGCCCCATCGCTGGGATCTGCATGCATCCGCTGCCTTCTCTGCGTCTGTCCCTAAATGGAGCCATCATTACGGCCTCTCCTCCTGGACTCCCCGGGAGACCCAGCTTCCTGGATGAAGTCCTGGAGACTCCCTGCCTGCATGCTGGCTTTCTGGGCCTCATCCACGGCTGGGGCAGGAGGCCTCTTAAAAGCCTCTTCACGGCTCCCCAGAGCTCAGCCGGGAGCCCCTGGAGCTCCCTCTGAAAGCCATTCCTGCACCTGTGCCTGGCACAGCCCGGCCTCATCCCTTCTCACCTGTGCTATTTGAGGAGCTGTCTTCTCCGTGCTCTTCTGCAGTACGGCCGGGCCGCGGGTCTTCATTATAACATGACTCTGGCCCCCGTGTTAGTCCTCCCGTGCTGCCGTAACAGAGCAACATTGATTCATGTCATGGAGGCTGTGAGTCCCAGACCAAGGCGCTGGGAAAACTGAGGCCTCTCCTGGGTGTGCACATGCCGTCTTCTCCCCGGGTCCTCACAAGCTGGTCCCTTCCTGCATGTCTGTGTCCTCATCTCCTCTTCTTATAAGGACACCGGACAGATTGGATTTGGGCCCCCTGTGACCTCATTCTACCTGGTCACCTCTTCGAAGGGTCTGTCTGAAACGCAGTCACATTCTCAGGTCCTGGGATTAGGGTTCAGCACCAAGTCCGGGGAACACAACTCAGCCACAGATCCCTCTCCTGCTTAGAGTCCTCCAGTGACCTCCGAATTCTGCAGGTGCAAGTACTACAGGTGCAGCATGGATGTCCCTCTCAGCTCATGTCCCCCATCCGTCCTGCCTTCCAGCCTCTCCCTCCAGGCCGGGTGCCCTGCGAATCCCAGAGCTGAGGTGCCCAGCGGTTTTCGGGACGTTTGTCATTACTTCAGGCTGGCACCTCCCTCTCCCTGGGTTTCTGCTGCCCAGCCCTGAAGCCTCTCAACTCTTCCTGCAGGCGGAAGGCCTCCCGGACGCTGCTGCAGTGCTGGCTTTCCCCTGGGTTTCCAGAGCCATCCACACACATCTCACAGCACCCAGCAGGTGTGCCATGGCTGACGAGCTCTTCAACTGCAACTGTTTCCAGACTTTAGGCCTTCGGGGCCAATGCTCAGGACTTCAGTGCTTCTGGATTCAGAGCACTTAGCGCAGCGGCCGGCACACAGCAAACACTTAATAAATGCTTACGACATAAATGTAATTTGATCTTTTCTTTAGAATCTTCAATTGGCATATAAGATGATTGTTCTTTATTCTAGTTCATTTTTTACATTTCTAAAACGGAAAGTGATCATGTGTGACTTTTTTCATTCATTTCCTCTGGTCATTTGTTTACTGAAACGCAGCTTTTTGTTGCCTTTGTGGGGTGTGCAGGCTGGTCCTCGCAGTGCATAGCTGTTGACTTATGGAAAGCTATGACCTGAGGCTATGCATCTGAGAGCCCCGCGCAACAGTTTCTGAGCCTATTTGTAAAGCCCTTGTGTCAGAGTGACAGATCCAAGGAGAAGACGTGTTTGGAGGAATCTTCTGGTTTTCAGATTTTGTGGCTCACAGAACCTCCAGCTGCTCATTTTTCCAGTAAAGAGCTAAATGTCCTTCCCAAAGCCTTTCCCCATATAGCGTGTTTTATTTTAACTCCGCAGGGAAGCTGGCTGCAGGGCCTCCTTGCCAGCCCTCTGGGAAAGGAGGATAGGAGGGTGAAGGGCCCGGTCAGAGGTATGTGGACCTGGAAAGGCTGCACACTGCACACCTGGTCCCCGAGCAAGCACGTCTGCAGAGACATCCTGCCTGCGGAGCCAGCCGGCGGCCAGACGGGTATTCCTCCTCTGGGGTGCACCTCCTCCCTCCAACCTGGGGTGCTGCGCACTCGGCAGCCATCGGCCGGGTTTACCAAGTGGTGCCTGTGTGTCCCAACACACCTGAATATGCCCTGCGGTATTTTGTGATTTCAAATCACCTTTACTCTATTGGCCAAAACGTTTTATGATCAGCCCAGCTGACATCCATTTTCAGTTTCTTTTCCTTTAAATTCTCTACTTTTTCAAATTCAAGTTTTAAAATATGTTCTCACCATCTTGTCAGGCAAACTTGCATATCAGTTACACAGTAACTCGACGGTACCAGGTCCTGGTATCAGAAGAAGGTTGAGGCAACAAGTTTAGTCCACGATGAAAATTTCCCCAGGCTCACACGCCTGAAAATCCACTCTTTGTGACAAGATAAAATTAAGTAAAACACTGTCTTTTATTGTAGAAGACTAAAAATGGGAGAATCAAATACATAGTCATATTTATTCAAACTGAGGAAGGTCAGCAAAGAAGTAAAATTTTAAAAAAGCAACAAAAATCATAGTATTGAAAAACAGTTATTCTACCTCTTATATTCAAGGTACTGAAATATAGAGATAATTTTTCTCCTCTATGTTGGCAAGTATGTATCTTGGAAATGGAATTACTATGTACCCTTGAGAGACAAGTTGCTATAGAAATATAAATAATAAAATAAGTCTGTGGCTGTTTCCTCTGCCATGCTTTCTATAGGTTTTCCCTTTGTTTTAATGACTTCTAGAATCAGTTGTATCATATGTTGAGAAAATTTCCGGCCCAGAGAAAAATCATTATAATCTAATTTTACACCATTTTCCTTCACAATATCAATAATATTCCCTCCCTAGAAAAATCGGGTGAGATGCATATTTGGACAAGTAAAGCAATCCGATAAATAATTTCCCAGATGAGAAAGAAACCATGTGTGAAATGAGTTAGATGTTTTCAAAACCACTTCATTTAAGGGGAGGACACTAATCAATATGCAGTGTTTTTCATAATGAGAGAAACGGTGGGACGAAGGAACGTTTATATGCGTGGCTCACACCGCCTCACAGGGTATTCTGTTCTTACTGGAGTTCCCTGGTGATTAGATTAAAAGGGTCTGTCTCAGCTCGATCACCAGCTGCCTTTAAAGGTTGAGTGAAAAAGCAGGTGAACTGGGGTGTCCCCAAACCAACAGACGTCCTCTGGGAACCTCAACCTGTCCATGTTTAAAACAGATGGTCTAAGATGTATTTTTAAGTTCTCAATACATCTTTCATGCATATATTCAATATTTATTATTATATGAATATTATACATTTGTAGTTATACAAGGTGAAATAATCTAATAATAACATCAACTTTTACCTTTTGAGCCTGCATAAAGTAATGTGTTTAAATAAATCTCGTTCTTCAAGGTACTCACTTTGGAATGTTTTCAAAAATAACTCTTTGGAATTATTTTCATGAGCTAGTTTTAGACAGAAAATCATAAAAGAAAATCAATCTGTCAAAATAACCTCTCTCCCCATACACCACACACGCACACATACACACATGTATACATGGATCAGTAAATGACAGCTATTGAACGTAGTGCTAGGGTATCAATTTCCAAGTATTTAAATACAAAAGTCAGAAGTATTTAAGTAGAAAATTTTTGAAATCCGCCTGACTCACGGACAGGAAACTTTGGATGAAATTTGAAGTTCAGCTATCACAATTATCGAGGCACCTACATCCCGTACATGTTGATAGTTTTCCTCCATAATTTTGTTTTCCCAGACTGGGAGTTTTCATTTCTTTGGTATTTTTCCATAATCTTGCTAAATAGACTATATTGCATGTCATCTAAATTTTATTTAGTAAATAAAGATTTAAATAACTAATATACAATACTTAGAGTAAAATGGGAAACAGCAGAGGTTAATGATTAATCTGTACTTTTATTTCTTCACAAGGGTAACTTGTAATCCTACAGTGCTAAGTATTTCCCCTAGTGCTTTTCATTTCTTTTCTCATTTGATTCTCAGATGTCACATAACTTGGACAGTCCCCTGCATCACCTAGAGGAAATTCTGACTCAAAACTGGGCCAAGATCCGGTAGAAACTCTGAATGGAATCTTTTTTTTGTAATTTATTTGGTAGGTGTATTTTTGGAATACAAAATATACATGGTAAACATTGTATATATATAAATTAAAATTTTAGTCTGAGCTCAGAACTGGTTCTTATCTCTGTGAAATCTGTTTTATTTTTATTCTCTCTATAATGACAGTCCTAAAAACAATAAAGTCCTTTTCTACGAGGTAATGATTGTTTCAAAGCATTTCTGAAGACTATGAAAGTTCTTAATTGTTTACTTGCTCCTAAGAGACAGTAAACAAATACTGCTGAAAGTATGAGTAATGATCTCTTGGACCGCTGTTTTTCAATGCAATCATTGTAAATCTCATTACTTCCCTGATTCTAATTTGTTCAATGTTCACATCAGGACAGAGCATGAGAACTGGCCCAGGACTTCACCAAGGGGCAGGAGTGAGCAGAACCGGCCAAACCAGAGGAAAACAGGAGGCTACGCAGGGTGCCCACAGCTGCCCGGTGGCTGCACCTGGGGGATGTGTTGTCAGCCTGTGGATTTCCCTTGGGTGGGTCCTGGGCACCACCCTCCCTCGTACAGAAAGCCCTGCTGGGAGCCAGAGAGCCAGGATCTGTTGCCTTTCTCCCGAAGCCCCCGGCTCAGTGGTGCCAGCATTGAAGAAATATCTACCACATAAAAAGCACACCGAGGATCCACAGCTTTCTTTGAAAAATAATCTTTAAATTTATGCAAATAAATTATCTATGGCTACAGCTTCTCTTGAATACCGCAGAAACCAAGAGTCAGAAACGTTAACAAGCCTAAGTTCTTGCAGCGAGGACATGATGGAACACGGTTTGAACACAGTTCCTTCCCTTCCATCCACAGACTCTACTATGAAATACTTTCTACACAAAGTGCAATGATAGTGCCGACTGCAATTTCTAATTCTGCAAAGTGCAATCTCCTGGATTTCTTGTTCACTTTAGCATTGAAACAAACCAAGACCTATTCACAGGTATGATGACACACTCCTGCCTGAATTTCTCTTTGCTTCTCTCCTGTTATGTGTCTGCTGTTCCTAATGCTATTCATCATGAACATAGCTTTGTTCTATTTCCCCTCGGAGCTGTCCTTTAAATTTCTAAGATACAGCTGCAGCATTCCAAGCCCTCTGGTATTCAGAACACCTCAGTCCCCAACACTATGTTTTTTTATAGCTCCTTTCCTTAACCTCTATGTGCGGCGCCTCGAGCTTTTATTGCTTGCTGTGTTTTATGGGTTTCTCTAGGCCATGTGTATTCATCGTGTTATAGAAATAATAACATATTAGGCAGTAAAATATTAGGCAGTGATATTTAGGTTGGGCGGTAAATTTTCAAAGGGGTGGGTATGGTTTTCCATGAGAACTAAAGGAAATTGCGAGACTGAGTCTTCGGAGCTCTAAGATAGTTAGTGCATCTGCATTAATGATGGACCTGCTTAGCGGCGGTGAGTCATGTTTACAGATCTGCTTACTGAGCAAGAGACCGGCTGGACGTCACTACAGGGCAGCCTGAGAGTCACTGCGCATCAGCAGAAATCTCACTGCAATCCATTAAACTTTGGTATTTAAAACTTAATCACCTTCCAAATGCTAGCACTTCCATTTCTTTCTCCTCTCTAAAACTTTACACAAGTTACACTTGATTATTTTAAGGAAACTTGCTAATGAGTAGATTTCATTCTAAGAAAAAGAAAGGTTATCTACAAGAGACAAAACACCCTTGCGAATGTGACAGTGTAACACATGCAATTAGGAAACGTTACTAGATGTCAGGAGAGTACATTGTACTGTGGTGCTGTGTGCTGCTCGCTCCTTCTAGGATGAAGACAGGTATGCCTCTAGAGTCCCCGCTGGAAGGCTGAAAATGGCGTCCCCTTACCTGCTGTTGACCTGATGGTGGAGGTGATGTCAGAGGGTGTCATCATGGGAATACATTCGTCATCTTGGGAGTAGCCGGCTTGAATGGCTCGAAGGTAGCTGTGACTCCTTGTTCGGAAACATCCCGGGAGGTCGAGGGCATCCATGGCCTGAGATTCAACTTCACTGAAGACGGACTCGCACACGGACTCGAATTGCCCATTGATCTCCGCCTCGCTCACCTGCAATCATCAACAGCACACGTGATGCCCCGGCCCTCCAGGGTCACCATCACGTTACAGAAAAGCCAGGAGAGCGCGCTCATTCCCAGGCTGCCTTTCACTGCCTCATAGTTCAGCACAGTTAACCTGAAGTCAGCATGGGCATCGGCTGAGCTTGGGAAATACAGCATTGGGTTTTCCCTTACGAAACACTTAGGCAAACAGCCAATTCCAAGTGTTGATGAAATTTTGGGGGACCGCAAGGCAAACCTTCAAGGTAAGGCTGACAGTTATTACAAAGTGTAAGAGAGATAGAACTTTTAAAAGATTAGCAAAGTACCTGGTACAAAGGAAGGGTTCAGAATCCATTTCTTCCTTCCCTTTCCCACATGACGGCCCCCCCTTTCCAAGCTACTAATGGCACGATGGCTCCAGGCACTGAGGCCGTATAAGGGAAAGCACATTCAGTGCATACACTACTCAGTTCTTTTTCAGAATATGGAGTCTGCTTGTACCCATTGCCATGGCAACTCATCACAAATTTGGCTTCTAAACTCATCTCCTTATCCCCATTACGGCAGCATATATCTGAGTCCAGATGAGAAAGAAATGGCTGTACTGGTGTTTTCGTCCACATGAAATGTGCTACTTTACCTAAATTCCAGGCTTTTTTTATTCTTCCTTAGCTTAGGATATTAGTATACTCACTTCATTTTCCCCTCCCTCCCATCCTCCCTCCCTTCCATCCTTCCTCCCCTGTCTCTCTTTCTCCCCTCACCCCCTCCCATTCAGATTATTTCTCTTCTTGTTTCTCCTGGGGATGTGTGACAGCTCAAAGCACCAACAGCTTTCTGAACCCCCTGGATTATGTTGGCAGATACATTGTAAAAATACACTGTTTTAAACACCAGATTAGTTCTTTTCCTTTAGTTGTCAGCAGAGTAAAAGGCAAGGTCAAAGAATCAGGTTCTCCCTCTAGCAGTTGTGTTGTTGACACAACACGACACTGGTTGCCCGTCTCCAAGTTCAGACCTGTGGACTTCTCTGGTTTCACCTGAGGTGACCTACGTGCTGGAAGGACGGCCTCTTTCCTCGTGAGCCTAACTCAGCATGGACCCTGGAGAGGCAGGGGGTGAGCAAAGGGCAGCAAAGCCTGAAGCCACCCTGCAGGGAAGACAGACCCATGCCAGGCTGCAGAAAGAGTTGGCACAATGCCGGCGGGGTGGCCTTTTTCAGAAAGGTCTGAGGATTCCTGACACTGGACAGAGACAGACAAACCCAGGCAGGCACAACCAGGACACAGCCGGCAGGATGGCCTCAGGAACCCAGCAAAGGGCTCAGAAGCATGCACACTGGCTTGGAAACAGGATGTTTTTCTGGACCATAAATTTCTTCCAATCTAAGTTTTCACTTATGTAGAATTTTATGGAAAAGTCTTAGATTGTGTCATTCCTGTCAAAGATGTATCGTAGACAGCGTGAGAAGGTCAGAACCTGTGTGAGGCCCTAGTACACCTCAGTGGACACCCTTCTGTAAGCCCGACCCAGGGCCCAGCTGCCCTCGCTCCTAAAGAAGAGACACCATTAACCTGGTATGTGCATTTCACAAACAGAAGCTGGCATCTCAGCAAGGACCCTCGGCTATGCTTCCAGCTACAAGCCTTTCAGTGAGGTTCTAGACATGAAGGTGACTCCTCCTCCCCAAAACAAATAAAAAGTGGTTGAGCAGCATCTCAAGATGGTCCAGCAGGGAATTAAAATGATCTGTTCACCCGGACCTCCCGCCCAGACCCTTGGGGCACCCGGACCTCCCGCCCAGACCCTCGGGACACCCGGACCTCCCGCCGAGACCCTCGGGACACTGGGACCTCCCGCCGAGACCCTCGGGACACCCGGACCTCCCGCCCAGACCCTCGGGACACCCGGACCTCCCGCCGAGACCCTCGGGACATGAGCTGCAGGAAACCCAAGCAGAGTGCAGCTACTGAGGTTCCAAGGAGGAAACGGCATGGACATAAGCACCTCTCACAAGACTTCAGTTAGATTTTTAATTCCCTTCCTGTGCTTGAGAAAAAATTGAATGTTAAACATGAAGGGCAAACTTTTTTTTTTTTTTCGAGATGGAGTCTCGCTCTGTCGCCCAGGCTGGAGTGCAGTGGCGTGATCTCGGCTCACTGCAAGCTCCACCTCCCGGATTCACGCCATTCTCCTGCCTCGGCCTCCCGAGTAGCTGGGACCACAGGTGCCCGCTACCATGCCCAGCTAATTTTTTGTATTTTTAGTAGAGACGAGGTTTCACCATGTTAGCCAGGATGGTCTCGATCTCCTGACCTCGTGATCCACCCACCTCGGCCTCCCAAAGTGCTGGGATTACAGGCGTGAGCCACCGCGACTGGCCAAGGGCAAACTTTCAACAAACTTTGGTTTGTCACCAAATTCACATCTCTCCAGAGCCCCTAAGTGTTAGTAATTCCAGATGTCCCACCCTCAACCATGGGCACTGTCCCCTTCCTTCCAGAATTGTCAGGTCTCGTGGCCTAGGGCTGGACAATCAATTAGTGGAAGTTTGTTTCTGGGTGTGACACAGTCTTCTCACCTACTACGTTTGTTTCTGGGTGTGATACAGTCTCACTTACTACCAGCATTCCAGGATTATTTTGAATAACACTTTTTTTTTTCCTGAGAATTCAAAACTGAGTTCAATTTAAAGTAATGCCATAGAACTCTGCATAGGAATGACTTAGAATTCTAAATTTCAAGGTCGTTAAATAAACCCCCAAGCACCCAACTTGTCTGCTTAACCATTGTTTCCAATGATGAATCCTTTCAGATAGACAAAGATGTGAGAAAATGTTATTTTCACTGACTTATTTTGGTAGATACCATCTTGGGTTCATCAAAAGCAAGATGACGAGAGAACTAGTATATTTAGCTTACATTTACCCCCAAACAGGACGACGAGTCGCAAAGAGCCTCTGAATGTTTCATAAGAGCATTTAAAGAGGTGTGAGATCCATTTAATTGAAAGTTGTTTGTGGAAAAGTATTAGAGATGAACGTTCACACCTCGGATGAGATAACTTTGCACTTCTGTTTAAACCTTTTGTTGGGTTACATCGGATTTTTAAAGCTGTATTTTGGTAAACTAGGTTATATCCACTGAAAGGGAAGGTGATAGCTTTAAAAGAAGAAAGTCTGCTGTATCCTCATCTCTGTGTATGGAGCAAGTTGTTAAAATGTATCACTGACTTTCAGTTACTCTGTTTAGTTAATTAGTGTCTCCCCATATCATCTTGGACTTTATGCTGAAATAGAATGTTTCCTCAGTTATTAAAATAATTACAATTATCTAGTTGGGGAGGATCAGTTGATGTTATTGTTTGCAGGGGGCTGGCTGGGAGCAGGGGGCTGGAGGACCCACCATTCCCATTTGCCCAGGACTTGAGCGCAGGGCTAGGGACGGTCTTTCCTTGTCATTGGGAAAAAGAGTCAATGCAATTCCTGATGCAGATGAGAACTTAATTCCATTTCTGGAAGGAAAGAAGTAACCGAGTAGATAAAAGAGGTGGTATCCTTCTTGAGTTGTGCAATAGGAAAAGCCTCAATAGTTCAGTGGAAAAAGTCCTGGGTACAACCTTCCGATGAGGAAAAAACCTGCAAAATGAATAGACTCTACCTCATGAGGAATTTAAAGTCTGCGGCAAAAGAAAGACTTGTGCTTACTGAGCCCCAGGCAAGCTACCAAGAGCTCACAGCATGATCTGCAGCCAGGAGGGCTTTAGTGCCCAGAATTATATAGTATTACTTATTGTTATCATGGTAATAATAAGGGCTATCATTTTTGAGTGCTCAGTATATGCTGGACTCTTTGCCTAATAGCATCTAAAATTGACTGTGTACTTCCATTGTCACGCCGATAACTGCATAATGGGAGGGCACAGAAAGCCCAGGCCTTGGCCCAGAAGCCCAGAATAATCCCTACTCCACAGTAAGTCAGAGAGAATGTGAGGTCGGCTCAGGCTCTTAATCCCTGCGCTCAGGCTCTTAATCCCTGCTCCACAGTAAGTCAGAGAGAATGTGAGGTCAGCTCAGGCTCTTAATTCCTGCTCCACAGTAAGTCAGAGAGAATGTGAGGTCAGCTCAGGCTCTTAATTCCTGCTCCACAGTAAGTCAGACAGAATGTGAGGTCGGCTCAAGCTCTTAATTCCTGCTCCACAGTAAGTCAGAGAGAATGTGAGGTCGGCTCAAGCTCTTAATCCCTGCTCCACAGTAAGTCAGACAGAATGTGAGGTCAGCTCAGGCTCTTAATTCCTGCTCCACAGTAAGTCAGAGAGAATGTGAGGTCAGCTCAGGCTCTTAATTCCTGCTCCACAGTAAGTCAGACAGAATGTGAGGTCGGCTCAAGCTCTTAATTCCTGCTCCACAGTAAGTCAGAGAGAATGTGAGGTTGGCTCAAGCTCTTAATCCCTGCTCCACAGTAAGTCAGAGAGAATGTGAGCTCGGCTCAAGCTCTTAATTCCTGCTCCACAGTAAGTCAGAGAGAATGTGAGGTCAGCTCAGGCTCTTAATCCCTGCTCCACAGTAAGTCAGAAAGAATGTGAGGTCAGCTCAGGCTCTTAATTCCTGCTCCACAGTAAGTCAGAGAGAATGTGAGGTCAGCTCAGGCTCTTAATTCCTGCTCCACAGTAAGTCAGACAGAATGTGAGGTCGGCTCAAGCTCTTAATCCCTGCTCCACAGTAAGTCAGAGAGAATGTGAGGTCAGCTCAGGCTCTTAATCCCTGCTCCACAGTAAGTCAGAAAGAATGTGAGGTCGGCTCAAGCTCTTAATTCCTGCTCCACAGTAAGTCAGACAGAATGTGAGGTCGGCTCAGGCTCTTAATCCCTGCTCCACAGTAAGTCAGAGAGAATGTGAGGTCGGCTCAGGCTCTTAATCCCTGCTCCACAGTAAGTCAGAGAGAATGTGAGGTCGGCTCAAGATCTTAATCCCTACTCCACAGTAAGTCAGAGAGAATGTGAGGTCGGCTCAGGCTCTTAATCCCTACTCCACACTAAGAGAAAATGTTTGTTAGGTATACAAACTCAAGGTCAGCTCAAGCACTGTTTTCAAAGGCATTTAAGTGAGTAAGCAACGTGCTTAATTAAAATGATAAACTTTCGATTCTTCTTTGCCATGTAATATAGGATGATTAGACTGAAGGACACTTGCCGATTTTTTCACTGTGCGTTCTCAGGCCCGTCCACCACAGGTGGGGAGCAGGGGGGCCTCCCTTTCACAGCCCCCGTGTCTCAGGCACCTGATTTTAATACCACCCCTCCCGTGGTGCCCAGGGACCCTTCTCCTGGCCACTGTGCCTGTCCCGAAATCAGTCCTGCCCTGGGAGTGGGGCCGACCGGCAGGACTCTGTGAGCGACACCAGGCTATCCTCTCACAGGACTTTCTGAGGCACAATTCAGAGGACAGAGCTGAGAGCCATGCTGCCAGAGCCTTTCCCTGGCCCCCTTTTACTGGAAAAATAGCCTGGGAAGAAGGAAGACAGCCTGTGCTTTATCAACAAGAGAGGCCAGGATGACCACCCTTTTGGTCATTGCTTCCTCAGAAAAAAATCAACGCAAAAATGATATGGAGTTATACACGTCAAAAATATAACAGTAAGTCCACGAGTCTAATCAGCCAGAGCTAATTCCAGGGGAACCCCCTTTGGTGTAGCCTTGCCCAAGTGCTGCTGACCAGGAGGGCAGCGCCATCGCCACCTATGCGGCCGGGGCCTCCGTGCCAGCCTGGCTGGGGAGACTGGACCCCAGGGAGAAAGGGCGAAGGGACCCTGACCTGGCTCACGCAGCTGGCCTGGCTCAGGGTGCTGACGGCCCTCATGTAGCTCTGGTTCCGGGAGCGGAATTTCGGGGAGTTGTAGTTCGCAGCGGGGTCCAGGCTGTGTCCCACAGGCACATCGCTTGCAGCTTGCAGGTAGGTCTGGCTACAGGAAAGAAGAAAGGAGAAAAGGCATTCTGTGAGCACCCGCTGCAGGGCAGAGGTGGGAATGACCATCCAACCCACACCCAGAGGCTGAGCACCCACCACAGGGCAGAGGTGGGAACGACCGTCCAACCCACACCCAGAGGCTGAGCACCTGCTGCAGGGTAGAGATGGGAACAGCCGTCCAACCCACACCCAGAGGCTGAGCACCTGCTGCAGGGTAGAGATGGGAACGACCGTCCAACCCACACCCAGAGGCTGAGCACCCACCACAGGGTACAGATGGGAACAGCCGTCCAACCCACACCCAGAGGGTGAGCACCCGCTGCAGGGTAGAGATGGGAACAGCGTCCAACCCACACCCAGAGGTTGAGCACCTGTTGCAGGGTAGAGATGGGAACAGCCGTCCAACCCACACCCAGAGGTGAGCACCCACCACAGGGCAGAGATGGGAACAGCCGTCCAACCCACACCCAGAGGGTGAGCACCCGCTGCAGGGTAGAGATGGGAACAGCCGTCCAACCCACACCCAGAGGCTGAGCACCCGCCACAGGGTAGAGATGGGAACAGCCGTCCAACCCACACCCAGAGGCTGAGCACCCGCCACAGGGCAGAGGTGGGAACAGCCGTCCAACCCACATCCAGAGGCTGAGCACCCGCCACAGGCCAGAGATGGGAAAGCCATCCAACCCACACCCAGAGGCTGAGCACCCGCCACAGGGTAGAGATGGGAACAGCCGTCCAACCCACACCCAGAGGCTGAGCACCCGCCACAGGCCAGAGATGGGAACGACCGTCCAACCCACACCCAGAGGCTAGCATCACATTTCCAACTGAATGTCTGTGTCTTGATGAGTAACTTTGCCATATGCAAATATTCTGAGATTCATATTTATGAATGTGAATTTCATCAAAAGTAATAGGGGAGGCTATTTACAAAATTGCCTTTGAAACCTGAGATTTTATGGCCAGGTAGTGAAATTTGGGTCATTCCATATTTTTAAAAAAGTGCTGTAAGCACTAGTAACTCACACAGCATAATAGCAAACTCAGCTCCTGAATTTAAGCCAAAAAACTGAGAGTCTCATAAAAATTATTGGCTCTCTGGCAACTTTACATATTTAAAAAATAACAGAAAAAATACAAGGCTCACTTTCAGTTTTAACTTATGCAAAGTTGTCCAGGTTATGCAATATCAGCAAATATAATAGGAGGAGTAGGCTAAATGAAAACCATTTTATAATCACAACGGTCGTTTTCTTCCAAACTCCCTTAAAATAAATCAATGTTCTCTGGTCTTCCTTCTCGCCGTTTTGTGAAATGTTAAAAGCATGGAAGAACCCTGTGAGTGTTTGGCCGATGAAAGGTCTGGCTTAGCTTAAACTTCTGGCTAACTGGACCACTTTCCAGTTTTATTGACAATCTTTCCACAGTGCAGTAAAATTCATTTTATTTTAACAAAAGCTGTAGAAATGTGGACAGAAATGATTAATTATTCTTCTTGCCTGTTTTGGATGATAATAGGAACATTAAATATCAGTGCACAAGCAGGTACATAAAAATGTCTATAGATGTTAGGTGGACGATTCTGACTCCAGAGTTGGGCATTAAAGCACACACTTTCTTTTCAAAGTAAACCCTTGGTGTGGTTTTTCTCTGATTTACTTCAGTCTTTAAAAATGGAATATCAGAGAAAAAAAACTGGACTCAATGAATTCTTATTAAGTGAAGCTTATTCATTATAGATTTAAAGTCATTCTTTCTGCTAAATATTTTTGCTTTAAAAGAAAATGTATAACATATAGCAGCTCCTACCTACCTTCCCCTCCCTGACTTAGACCAAAAAAAGGAAAGAGAGAGAGAGAGAGACAGAGAGAGAGAGAGAGAGAGAGAAAGCAAAGGGAGGAAATTAGTTTTGAGCTGATTCTAATTTTACTGGGTATGAAGCACACAGTCTTCACATCGATGCCCGCCGACTCCCGCTGCACCTGGGCAGTGGGACGGGCAGCTCTGCTGCAGATGTGGGGACCGGCACCAGCACCAGCAGGGGCCCTGTCCCCTCCCCTCCTCTGTGGATCCCCCAGGTCGACTGCCAGTGAACAGAAGGCGAGCTAACACGGATCCCTGACCTTGGCTGTCACCACCCTGAAAGCATGGGTTCAACAGAGCGGCAAAATGTCAACAGCATCCTGAGACACGGTCACAAGTTTCAGGCTCAGGTTGATGGATGCGTGGACTCATTCTGTAAGAGACCACTGCTGGCTTCCTTTGAATGTGTCCACGTGCCTGTGCGTGTTTAATACAGAGTCATGTGCAGCGGACGAAGCCCCGAGCTATGGAGCCCGAGCAGTGTGGCCTCAGGTGGATGCCAAGAGCCCTGACTGAGGCTCTTAACTTGACTCACCTTTGTCTTTGCAGAAATGTAAACTTCCCGCACTTCTGCTCTCCTTCCATGCTTCCTTGAGATTGCTGGTTTCATACCCTCCATTTCTACCAATCGGCACTTTCTACCAATTACCAATTTTCTTCCAATACAACAGCAGTTCCTTCTGATTAACACCACCGTTTTGCATTTTAACATTCTCAAATTGAAGCTGCCTTCTAGACTGAGAAAACATAAAAGAAGGATTCTCGTCCTCTGGATCTGGTGTCCACAGTTTCTAACCAGTGCCTGCTACGTGAACGAAGGGATCACCTCTGAGCCATGGCTCATCACTCTGGCAGTGGCTGCTGGACAGCCCTCACAGGTGGATCCATGTATTTTGTGAGTCTATGTTTCAAATACATATTCTCTCAATGATTCTCTTTATTTCAAAATGGAGTGTGACACATAAATGTTGCCGCTGAAGAAAGCTAATAATTTTTTTTAAAACATAGACTCACAATAGCTAACATTTTCTATGCAAGATTACGCCAGAAATGCTAATAAGTGTTTTGCATTGTCCTAACACATTTAATGTTTACATTAGTCCTATAAACCAGGCCTCTTCCCAACCTTCCTCCTATGAATGCAGCATCAGACGCACATTGCTGCAAGGTCATTGTGCACTGGTGCCAGGTCATCACACACTGGTGTCAGGTCATCACACACTGGTGCCAGGTCATGGCACACTGGGGCCACGTCATCGCACACTGGTGCCAGGTCATCACACACTGGTGTCAGGTCATCACGCACTGGTGCCAGGTCATCACGCACTGGTGTCAGGTCATGACGCACTGGTGTCAGGTCATCACGCACTGGTGCCAGGTCATCGTGCACTGGTGTCAGGTCATTGCGCGCTGGTGTCAGGTCATGATGCACTGGTGTCAGGTCATCAAGCACTGGTGCCAAGTCATCACACACTGGTGTCAGGTCATCACGCACTGGTTCCAGGTCATCACGCACAGGTCTTCACACACTGGTGCCAGGTCATCACACACTGGTGCCAGGTCATGCACTCAGGCTTGGGCGGGATGGGGGCAGCACTCCCTTCTGAGTCCAGGTGGCCTGGCTCTGGAATTCATGCTTTAAAATCCCAAGGTCACTGGGATTTTAAGCACTCAAGATGCTGAGTCATAGGACCACAGAGCCAAAGATCCCATCCTCTGATACCACAGACTTTTTAAATAGTTAAAAAATAACAAATAAAACCTCAGCCTCATTTGGCTTAAGAGGCTTTTTAAAAAATATTATAATGGCTTAGCATTTTATCATATAGAGTCCCAGAAGGCCAGGTTCCTCACAGTCACAGATCAAAACTCAAGAACTAGGACTAGGGGGAGCCAATCAAGATGGGGGGATGCACCCTCCGGTGGCCCCGCCAGGTGACACAGGGTGAAGTCCCCAGCACGGCTCACTCCACAAAATCCACCTGACTCTTCCCCCTGAAAATCCCCCTCCTACATCCCGGGGCATTTTGAAGTTGACTTTCAGCCCCTTTGGTTATCTCTCTAAGTGGTAATTCCTGCGGCATCCCAGGTGTCAGAAATGGAAACATATTTTGCTATATGGACTTAGTAGCTCAGAATTTTTTTTTAAATAGTGAAAAGTTTTCTAGAATAACACAGAAATGTTTTTGTTCTAGTTTTGCCTTTCAGATGTTGCTCCCCTTAGATTGTCATCCACAAACAGGCGAGACGGAAAGCTGTGCAAGTGAATCCATAACCCCAAGACAGAACTGCAGGATTCCTGGTGTTCAACCTTGTTCTCGCCCTTTGCGAATGGTTCCAGAGCTGCTTGCTGAATCCTGGGCTCAGAACCTCCTCTGTGACTTAGGTCATTATGAGAACGAATATACATAACAAAGGGTACCCCTGAAAGGGCCTCTGACCCCAGCTGTTTAGATCCATCTAAACATGCTTGAAAATACACAACGTAAACCATCTCCCTTGTTACCTTGGAAAGCAGTAAGGATTCTATGCAGGTTGTGCTAAGGAGATATTTAAGAAAATTTTTTTCCATACTAAATGTGTTCATTTGAAATACAGAGATCATCTTCTCATTTCTATAAATGGGATCTGACAGGAGAAGCTCCCAAATATAAGAAGTGTTTCTTCCACTGCATTCAATGGAAAATGGAGCACGCTAAACAGTGCTAGTGAAACAGACATTCGTGTGCACACGCGTGCGTGTGCTGTGCGTGCACATGTGTGTATTATTCCACCTGCAAAATGGAAATTCTTAGAACACCTTTCAGTATACATTTCAAATAATATCACAATTAATGACTGGATTTCAGAAAATGGCTTCTTTCCAGATCATTTCCACATTCAGTGTAAAAAGTGTTCTTGAGCTTTCTGTGCCCTTGCAGGAGATGAAGGCATGCTTGTTCCCTAACAGCACATTTTTGAGGGAAATCCACATTTGCATCTCACTGTTGGCACCCACATCTGGGATGCCCCCACAGCTGCCCCGACAACCCATCTCTGGGCTCTTGACTGCAGAGGCTCGGAAACGCCATACCCTTGACCGCAGAGGCTCGGAAACGCCATACCCTTGACCGCAGAGGCTCGGAAATGCGATACCCTTGACCGCAGAGGCTCGGAAATGCCATACCCTTGCTTGGCTGCCCTCCTGGTGCTGACGGTGCCTCCGAGATGTGACCCCGCTCCAGCTGGTGAGTCTATGGAGCACCTGCTCAGTGGCTTCTGAGCAGAGTCCGGCCTTCTCCATACTGATGACTGCTCTTCCTGGAGCCCGTGGCAGGTGGGGCTGCAATGGCTGACCCACGGCCAGCTGAGAGTGAGAGCCAGCATGCTCAGATGCATGACGCTGGCTTGGGTCCCAACGGGGCTGACCCCAACCCGGTGTGGACAACCTCTTCTGGCTCTCCTCTGCCCTGGTCCCAGTGCAGCTAACAGTGACCCAGCCATGACAACCTCCTTTGCCCTGGTCCTCGTGTAGCTGACCCCAACCCAGTGTGGACAACCTCCTCTGGCTCTCCTCTGCCCTGGTCCCAGTGCAGCTGACCCTGACCCAGCCGGACCAACCACCTCCGGCTCTCGTCCACTTGGCTCTACCCGTCCTTTGCTATAACCAGGACTGGGCAGGTTTGAAGGATGTGCCACCAAAGGCTTCCCAAACAGAACACGAGGAGAAGGCATCTTAATAAGGCACCTCCCACGTAAGTCTGGGTGCTTGGAAGTGCAAGAAAGGCCTTCTGCAAGATGGCAAGCGTAGCACTCGTGTAGTTGACAGTGTGTTGGGGACAAAGACTGGAACATAGATTTCTTAATGCAAAATGCTAAAAGGAAATGTAGAGTGTGTGCCAGCTGGGAGGCGGGGAGTGAGCATTGTTTGTCTGGAGAGCAGAGGGTAAAGGGGGAAAGGCATTCTGGGAGAGAAGTTTGGGGAAGCAGAGTGGGAAACTGTGAGGGACACCCCAGACAGCTTGATGTTTATGCCACAGGCAAAAGAAAAGTACTGCAAGTTCTTAATCAGGGACTTGTGAGCTGGGAGCTCAGGACGGTCCCTGTGCGTGGGGCCTGGAGGACGAGGTGCCTGAATGCAGGAAGTGGTGTCCTGGACACAGACCCCGAGAGGCTCCTGCAGACTTGAGCTGGTTTCTCATGAGACACCAAAGGGCTTGGATTTTAGGGACAGAGCCCACAGGAATGAGGAATGTGTTAGAGGTGAGATGATTCCAAGGTGCCTAGACTTCTCCCAACAAAGGCAAGATCTATGATAGGAAGAAAAACAGGTTTTGGAGGTTGGACCTGAGTTTGATTTGGACCTGCTGATTCTAGGGCACTTCCAAGAAGTCTGTGAAAGAACAGAGCAAGTGTGACGGGCAGGGCTGTGAACCTCTGAGTGCTTCAGATGTAAAAGTGTGGAAGACGTCGGGCTGTGAGTGTCACGCAGCAGAAAGGTGGAGGAGGCCTCTCGGGTGAGGCGGGGCCACGAAGGGAATCCAGGAGGAAACTGAGAGGGGCGTGGGGCGGGGGACGCTCCTGGGCACCCGAGGGACAGGAGGAGCCCGGCCCCGGAGCAGATGCTGAGAAATCAAGTGGAATGAGATGGGGAAAGACCGTCAGATGCAGCAAGCTGGGGTCATTTTTAAAAAGGACAGTTTCAGTGGATATGGGTGCAGAAATGAGATCGCAGACGTTAAGGTAAGAAAATGGAAGTATGAGTGGAACTTTTGAACAATTTGTCAGGAACAGCAGAGAGGACAGGCGATTTGAGAAAGGCTGTGAGTTTTCTTGGATGGGGGGATGAAGCAACGTGAACATTTATTTTTAGAAGGTGAAAATAAGACACCATGGGAAAGACACTCAAAGAGGCGGGCCTGGGATCATTTTTCCTGTCTACAGGAAACGCTATGCTGAGGCCAACAGTGTGCTTGGCCGTGAAATGTGCTTTACAGGTCGGAAGTAACATGGTGCGCAGAAGGCAGTTTGTATGCACAGTGGAGCACATGTGTTGATGCCTGAAAGCCCACATTGAGATCCTGGCTCAACCTCTCGCCAACGGTGTCATTTGGACAAATCTCTTAATCTATGCAATGTACAATGAGGACAGTAGTCACAGGACATAACTTATGGAGTTCTGTGAATATAAGGTAAGAATGTTACATGCAATACAAGTATAATACATGGTGAGCACTTACTTAATGTTAACACATACTATGTTTAACTTGTCCTTGCAAGACCTGTATTGTGACTCGAGATTTTAGCATTTGGTAGATGTCTCAGAAACAACTGGTCTGAAGAAAATATTTCAACTGTTTAAATTTTTCTTAAAAGAACAAGGTAAACTTACCAAAAAATTTATTTTTCTTTCTTACATAGAAATGAAACAGAAAAATATATACCCATTAAATTGTATTAATTGAGAGAAAATTGATAGACAGTGAAAGGCACAGGTCTCACTTGTAGGACTCAGTGAGTTTTGACAGATGTTGACTGTGGCCTCCACCCGTATCCTCATGGGCATGTTGTATTGTCATTCTTTTTAACTTAGGCCATTCTAGTGAAATTGAAGTGTATCCCAATAAAGTTTTCACTTTCACCTCCTGGATGACTAATTCTTATTGGACATTTGTGTATCTTCTTTTGCAAAGTAACCTTTTGGCTTTTATGCCCATTTTTCTGGGGTTGTCTTTACGTTCTTGTTTTGTAGGAGTTCTTTACATATTCTGCATTCAAGCCCTTTGTCAGACAGACATTTCCCTTATTCTATGGCTTGCCTTTCCATTTTCTTAGTTGTGTCTTTTAATGAACAGAATTTAAAGATTTTGACGGCTGGAGTCTCTATTCTGTCACACGGATCTATTTTGTCTATTTGAGTAGTTCTTAATCTGGGGCGATTAGGCCCTCAAGGGACATCTGGTGATGTCTGGAGATATTTTGAGTTTGCCACAATTTAGAGGAGGGTGCTACTCGTGTCTACTGGACAGGTGCCAGAGATGCCATGAAAAGATCCTACAGTGCACAGAGGGCCCCCAACAAGAGAGAATCGTCTGGCCCCAAATATCAAGAATGCTGAAGGTGCACGGAGATCCCCCCAATGAGAGACAATTGTCTGGCCCCAAATATCAAGAGTGCTGAGGCTGAGAGACCCTTTTCTATTCTTATATGAATATCACACTGTCCCGATTAGATTTAACGCAAGTCTTGAAATCAGATAGCGTGAGTCCTCCAACTGTGTTCTTTTTTATCAAGACTGTCTTGGCACTTCTAGGTTCTTCACATTTTCACACATTTTAGAATCTTCTTGTCAGTTTCTCTAAAAACTGAGGTTGCTTTGAATGACATTGATTCTACTGAGGTTGCACTGAATCCATACCTCAGTCTGGGGAGATTTCACATCTTCACATTACTGAGACTTCCAATGCATCACAGTCTAGCTCTCGATTTATTTAGATGGCCTATCTTAGAGCACCACAATTCTACAATGCTGTTGAGATGTTTAAAACTAATTGCATTTTCCAATTATTCATTATGGGTCTACAGAAATGCAATTGATTTCTACCTATTTCATTCATGTCCTAGCCTTGATGAATGGCATGATCTGTTCCAGGATTTGATTTGTAGTTTCCTTAGGTTTTCTATGTAAACAATCATGTGATATAAGAATAAACCTGGAACCTAAACATGGAAGGAGCTCCTTCCTTTTAAATTTCGTGCTTTTTCTCTTCTTGTTTGCCTTCTGTGTCTGGCGAGGACCTCCATTAGAATGTTAAGTAGAGGAGCTGAGAGTCGGCATCCTCGTGTTTTATCTCATCTTACGGAGGGAGTTAAATGTTGCACCCTTAATGTTGACATTTTTTCCCCAGGGTTAGAACTGTAGCCTTTTACTTACTTATTCCACTTACTTTAGTACACGTATTATTATGACTGGGTTGAAGCCTACCATTTTACTGTTGTTTTCCATATGTCCTATTCATATACTTGTTCCTCTGATTTCTTTTTGCTTTCTTTTGGGTTAATCAAATATTTTTAACATTGAGCTTTAGCTCGTATTGGCTGTAATGCATAGCGTTAATATTTGAGTGGTTGCTCTAGAGGTGCGCTGTCCATTATGGTAGATAATGGGATCTAATTAAACTTAAGAGCTTCTGCACAGCAAAAGAAACTATCGACAGAGTAAACAGAAAACGTACAAAATGGGAGAAAATATTTCCAAACTATGCATCCAACAAAGGTCTAATACCCAGCATCTATAAGGAACTTAAACAAATTTGCAAGCAAAAAACAATGTGGGCAAAGAACATGAACAGACACTTTTCAAACGAAGACATACATGTGGCCAACAAGCACATGAAAAAATGCTCAACATCATGGATCATTAAAGAAATGCAAATCAAAACCCCAATAAGATAGTATCTCACACCCATCAGAATGGCTATTACTAAAAAGTGGACAAACAACAGATGCTGTGAGGCTGTGAAGAAAAGGGAATGCTCATACACTGCTGGTGGGAGCATAAATTAGTTCAACCATTGGGGAAAGCAGAGTGGCAAATCCTCAAAGAACTAAAAACAGAACTACCATCTGACCCAGCAATCCCATTATTGTGTATACACACAAAGGAAGAGAACTCATTCTACCATTAAAACACATGCACATTCATTGCAGCACTATTCACTATAGCAAAAACATGGAATCAACCTAAATGCCCATCAATGGTAGACAGATAAAGAAAATGTGGTGCATGTACACCGTGGAATACTATGCAGCCATAAAAAAGAATGAGATCATGTCCTTTGCAGCAACATGGATGGAGCTGGAGGCCATTATCCTTAGCAAACTAACACAGGGACAGAAAACCAAATACTGCATGTTCTCCCTTATAAGTGGGAGCTAAGTGATGAGAACACATGGACACAGAGAGGAAAACTACACATACTGGGGCCTCCTGGAGGTTAGAAGGAGGGAGAGGATCAGAAAAAAATACCTATTAGGTGCAATGCTTATTACCTGGATGACGAAATAATCTGTACACCAAACCCACATGACGTGAGTTTACCTAAATCACAAATCTGTGCATGTACCCCTGAAACTAAATGAAAGATAAAAAAGTAGCCACATGTGGATACATGTATTTAAGTTAAAAATAGATTCCTTAGCTTCTGTTTGAAAAGTCTTTATTTTGCTCTCATTTTTTAAAAGATATTTTTGCTGGGTATAGTATTCTGAATCAATAGATGTTTTTGATCACTTTAAAGGTATGATTCCATTGTCTTCTGGCTCCCATTGCTTCTGACAATAAGGCAGTCATAATTTTCTAATTATTCCTCTAGTTTCTGTTTGACCCCTTCCTTGGTTGCTTTACAGACTTGTCTCTCTCTGGTTTTCCACAGTTTAACTATTTTGTGGCTAGGTATGATTTTTTTCTATTTATCTTCTTAGAGTTCACTGAGCATTTTGGGTCTGTGGATTCTTTCAAACCAAATTTGTAAAATATTTGGCCATTTTTTCTTCAAAACCTTCTGCCAAATTCTCTCAGTTTTCTCCCTGGTTCTCTAATAATATGTGTGTCCCTTCACTTCTTCTTACTACACATATTACTGAGGCTCTATTCTTTTTTTTAATATCTTACCTCTACTTTTTCATATTTGAGAATATCTACTGTTTCATTTTCAAATTACTAAGCTTTTTTCCTGCTCTCTCAATTCGCTCTTAAACACATCCCATAAATTTTTCATTTCAGATATTGTGGTTTTCTGTTCTTGAAAATTCAATTTGTCTCTTTCTCATGGATTTCATTTCTCCATCTAGTCAGGCATTAAGACCTTCTTCTCCTTTAACATCTTTAACCTTGTAACAGACATTTTTATATCATTCATAAGACCTTACAACGGCTGCTTTAAAGATCTTTGTGGTGAGTTCTAACATTTTTTATCATTCATAAGACCTTACAATGGCTGTTTAAAGATCTTTCTGGTGAGTTCTAACATTTTTATATCATTCATAAGACCTTACAATGGCTGCTTTAAAGATCTTTCTGGTGAATTCTAACATTTTTATATCATTCATAAGACCTTACAATGGCTGCTTTAAAGATCTTTCTGGTGAATTCTAACATTTTTATATCATTCATAAGACTTTACAATGGCTGCTTTAAAGATCTTTCCGGTGAGTTCTAACATTTTTATATCAGTAATAAGACCTTACAATGGCTGCTTTAAAGATCTTTCTGGTGAATTCTAATATTTTTATGTCATTCATAAGACCTTACAATGGCTGCTTTAAAGATCTTTCCGGTGAGTTCTAACATTTTTATATCATTCATAAGACCTTACAATGGCTGTTTAAAGATCTTTCCGGTGAGTTCTAACATTTTTATATCATTCATAAGACTACAATGGCTGTTTAAAGATCTTTCCGGTGAATTCTAACATTTTTGTATCATTCATAAGACCTTACAATGGCTGCTTTAAAGATCTTTCCGGTGAGTTCTAACATTTTTATATCATTCATAAGACCTTACAATGGCTGTTTAAAGATCTTTCTGGTGAGTTCTACCATCGGGGTCTTCTCAGGCTTCGTTTTGAGCACATCAGTTTTTTCCTTGCAGGTGGGTTTCATGTTGCTACAACTTCAGCCTCTTTTCGGCATAAAGGACACGACTGGCAGAGACCCCGGCACCTGCTCCCTCCTCCAATGTGTGCTAATTTTGGTTGTGGCCGATCCTCCTTAGCTTTGGGTGTTTGGCTCGTGCGTTGCTGGGGTGGGCCTGGGGAAGCTGCAGATGGTTTACCTGGCCTGTGCACTTGGTGGGGTTCAGCCTCCAGACTGATCTTCACCATCGGTGGTCAGCAGCTGGAAACTAAACTTTTTCAGGGGTCCGCAAATGTTAATAGACTTTGGGGTCTCCCTCCATGGCTCCATCCCTTCTGTTCTGACCCCCACCTCTTCTGGCAACCCCAAATTCCATCCTGTAACAGACACATCCAAGGAGACTGCAGCTGTCTGCTTCAGTTCCTACCGCCCTCCTGCAGCAGGTAGCGAGGGTGCTCAGAGGGAACTCACAGGACCATGGGCAGCCGCGAGTGAGCGCGGCGCCTTTCCTTTAAAATGTGAATAGTCTCTACTTCCTGCCCAACTCTGCTTTCAAACAGGAGGGCATGCGTGTGTGTGTGTGCGTGTGCACGTGTGTGCACGTGCAATGCATGTGTGTGTGGGCTCCACAGTTCATGGCTGTCATCTGTATGAGTGTTTCTTCAATATAAGTTATTATCCCAGAGCCAGAACTCCCCATTATTACATTTTAAAAAATCGTGTCGCCAGGGTGAGCAACTGTCCTTGGCTTGGCCAACCTGCATATCAGTTCTGCTGCTGTAGTTGTTGGTTTGGGGAGCCCAGCACTGCAGAGGCAGAGGCTGTGCCACAGGGGGCTCCGCCTGGGAGGTCTCCTTTCCCAGAGTCCCCGGAGCTCGTGTGGGCACAAGGTCGTCCGGTAAGTCATGTTTTCTGCACACCTGGAGGTGATGCTGGCAACACAAAGCGGGGTCCAAGCCGTCAATGGCAGCTGCGGCAGAGGCCACCTCCAGTCCGCCGGGTGTCTGTGGTCATATTCCAACCTCGGCACCCCTTGTCCTGCCTGTGGTACCAGCAGCACTGACTGTGAGGTCTCTGCCAATGTGGCTGGTAATTCCGTGTTCACTGAGTCAGTTCTGAGGTGAGATTCACCCTCTGGCTGCAGAGGCCCCACGGCTGTTCTCTTGCCTGACTGCAAATGCTCAGGAGACCCCAGGTCTGTGCCATCCGTTTTTTTTCTGCCTGTGAAGAGTTGATTTCTCCATCTGCTGAAGGTGCTGGTGGGGTTTGTGAAGGATCCCATGAGAAGTATGTGATGATCCACCATGTCCCCTGGGCTACGAGGGCTCAGTCACCGCTGAAGCCAGGGCATACACTTGCAGTGAACCAGCCTCCCCCACCTGGCTCTTCCAAAGGCCTCCTGAGGCCCATTTTCGCTGAAAACCCCGCCGAGTCTGAGACCTGTCAGGTCACGCATTGCAAAGCCTGGCCTTACTGTTCATATTTGTACCGGGAATAGTTGATAGAGCTAGAATGGAAGGTAGCAATTTAGTCCTTTGGCATTCAACATTTTTGAGGCTTATTTTTAAAAAATTCAATTTGCTAATCTTTCTCTATGATTTTTCCAAAAAGAATACAGAGGAGGCCAGTGTGAGTGAACTGAACATGCAGGGTGGACATGAATTCAGAATGGAGACCTACATCTGTCCGAAGCAGTACAGAACAGGTTCTCGAAAAAGGGCTTTACTGCTGCTGTTAAACTACTCTCCCAAAATATGTTAATTTAGAAAATGAGTTACTCATCTATCAAATACTTTCTGGGCATCATTTATGAAGGCATCGCCCTTGTCCTCATGGAGCTGGGTGCGCAGTGCATAAATTTCAGTTGAAGTCAATTTTCTTTTCTTTTCTTTTTTTTTTTTTTATTATACTTTAAGTTTTAGGGTACATGTGCACATTGTGCAGGTTAGTTACATATGTATACATGTGCCATGCTGGCGCGCTGCACCCACTAACTCGTCATCTAGCCTTAGGTATATCTCCCAATTCTATCCCTCCCCGCTCCCCCCACCCCACCACAGTCCCCAGAGTGTGATGTTCCCCTTCCTGTGTCCACGTGTTCTCATTGTTCAGTTCCCACCTATGAGTGAGAATATGCGGTGTTTGGTTTTTTGTTCTTGCAATAGTTTACTGAGAATGATGATTTCCAATTTCATCCATGTCCCTACAAAGGACATGAACTCATCATTTTTTATGGCTGCATAGTATTCCATGGTGTATATGTGCCACATTTTCTTAATCCAGTCTATCATTGTTGGACATTTGGCTTGGTTCCAAGTCTTTGCTATTGTGAATAATGCCGCAATAAACATACGTGTGCATGTGTCTTTATAGCAGCATGATTTATAGTCCTTTGGGTATATACCCAGTAATGGGATGGCTGGGTCAAATGGTATTTCTAGTTCTAGATCCCTGAGGAATCGCCACACTGACTTCCACAATGGTTGAACTAGTTTACAGTCCCACCAATAGTGTAAAAGTGTTCCTATTTCTCCACATCCTCTCCGGCACCTGTTGTTTCCTGACTTTTTAATGATTGCCATTCTAACTGGTGTGAGATGATATCTCATAGTGGTTTTGATTTGCATTTCTCTGATGGCCAGTGATGATGAGCATTTTTTCATGTGTTTTTTGGCTGCATAAATGTCTTCTTTTGAGAAGTGTCTGTTCATGTCCTTCTCCCACTTTTTGATGGGGTTGTTTGTTTTTTTCTTGTAAATTTGTTTGAGTTCATTGTAGATTCTGGATATTAGCCCTTTGTCAGATGAGTAGGTTGCGAAAATTTTCTCCCATGTTGTAGGTTGCCTGTTCACTCTGATGGTAGTTTCTTTTGCTGTGCAGAAGCTCTTTAGTTTAATTAGATCCCATTTGTCAATTTTGGCTTTGGTTGCCATTGCTTTTGGTGTTCTGGACATGAAGTCCTTGCCCATGCCTATGTCCTGAATGGTAATGCCTAGGTTTTCTTCTAGGGTTTTTATGGTTTTAGGTCTAACGTTTAAATCTTTAATCCATCTTGAATTGATTTTTGTATAAGGTGTAAGGAAGGGATCCAGTTTCAGCTTTCTACATATGGCTAGCCAGTTTTCCCAGCACCATTTATTAAATAGGGAATCCTTTCCCCATTGCTTGTTTTTCTCAGGTTTGTCAAAGATCAGATAGTTGTAGGTATGCGGTGTTATTTCTGAGGGCTCTGTTCTGTTCCATTGATCTATAGCTCTGTTTTGGTACCAGTACCATGCTGTTTTGGTTACTGTAGCCTTGTAGTATAGTTTGAAGTCAGGTAGTGTGATGCCTCCAGCTTTGTTCTTTTGGCTTAGGATTGACTTGGCGATGCGGGCTCTTTTTTGGTTCCATATGAACTTTAAAGTAGTTTTTTCCAATTCTGTGAAGAAAGTCATTGGTAGCTTGATGGGGATGGCATTGAATCTGTAAATTACCTTGGGCAGTATGGCCATTTTCACGATATTGATTCTTCCTACCCATGAGCATGGAATGTTCTTCCATTTGTTTGTATCCTCTTTTATTTCCTTGAGCAGTGGTTTGTAGTTCTCCTTGAAGAGGTCCTTCACATCCCTTGTAAGTTGGATTCCTAGGTATTTTATTCTCTTTGAAGCAATTGTGAATGGGAGTTCACTCATGATTTGGCTCTCTGTTTGTCTGTTGCTGGTGTATAAGAATGCTTGTGATTTTTGTACATTGATTTTGTATCCTGAGACTTTGCTGAAGTTGCTTATCAGCTTAAGGAGATTTTGGGCTGAGACGATGGGGTTTTCTAGATAAACAATCATGTCGTCTGCAAACAGGGACAATTTGACTTCCTCTTTTCCTAATTGAATACCCTTTATTTCCTTCTCCTGCCTGATTGCCCTGGCCAGAACTTCCAACACTATGTTGAATAGGAGCGGTGAGAGAGGGCATCCCTGTCTTGTGCCAGTTTTCAAAGGGAATGCTTCCAGTTTTTGCCCATTCAGTATGATATTGGCTGTGGGTTTGTCATAGATAGCTCTTATTATTTTGAAATACGTCCCATCAATACCTAATTTATTGAGAGTTTTTAGCATGAAGGGTTGTTGAATTTTGTCAAAGGCTTTTTCTGCATCTATTGAGATAATCATGTGGTTTTTGTCTTTGGCTCTGTTTATATGCTGGATTACATTTATTGATTTGCGTATATTGAACCAGCCTTGCATCCCAGGGAAGAAGCCCACTTGATCATGGTGGATAAGCTTTTTGATGTGCTGCTGGATTCGGTTTGCCAGTATTTTATTGAGGATTTTTGCATCGATGTTCATCAAGGATATTGGTCTAAAATTCTCTTTTTTGGTTGTGTCTCTGCCCGGCTTTGGTATCAGAATGATGCTGGCCTCATAAAATGAGTTAGGGAGGATTTCCTCTTTTTCTATTGATTGGAATAGTTTCAGAAGGAATGGTACCAGTTCCTCCTTGTACCTCTGGTAGAATTCGGCTGTGAATCCATCTGGTCCTGGACTCTTTTTGGTTGGTAAACTATTGATTATTGCCCCAATTTCAGCTCCTGTTATTGGTCTATTCAGAGATTCAACTTCTTCCTGGTTTAGTCTTGGGAGAGTGTATGTGTCGAGCAATTTATTAATTTCTTCTAGATTTTCTAGTTTATTTGCGTAGAGGTGTTTGTAGTATTCTCTGATGGTAGTTTGTATTTCTGTGGGATCGGTGGTGATATCCCCTTTATCATTTTTTATTGTGTCTATTTGATTCTTCTCTCTTTTTTTCTTTATTAGTCTTGCTAGCGGTCTATCAATTTTGTTGATCCTTTCAAAAAACCAGCTCCTGGATTCATTGATTTTTTGAAGGGTTTTTTGTGTCTCTATTTCCTTCAGTTCTGCTCTGATTTTAGTTATTTCTTGCCTTCTGCTAGCTTTTGAATGTGTTTGCTCTTGCTTTTCTAGTTCTTTTAATTGTGATGTTAGGGTGTCAATTTTGGATCTTTCCTGCTTTCTCTTGTGGGCATTCAGTGCTATAAATTTCCCTCTACACACTGCTTTGAATGCGTCCCAGAGATTCTGGTTTGTTGTGTCTTTGTTCTCGTTGGTTTCAAAGAACATCTTTATTTCTGCCTTCATTTCGTTATGTACCCAGTAGTCATTCAGGAGCAGGTTGTTTAGTTTCCATGTAGTTGAGCAGTTTTGAGTGAGATTCTTAATCCTGAGTTCTAGTTTCATTGCACTGTGGTCTGAGAGATAGTTTGTTATAATTTCTGTTCTTTCACATTTGCTGAGGAGAGCTTTACTTCCAACTATGTGGTCAATTTTGGAATAGGTGTGGTGTGGTGCTGAAAAAAATGTATATTCTGTTGATTTGGGGTGGAGAGTTCTGTAGATGTCTATTAGGTCCGCTTGGTACAGAGCTGAGTTGAATTCCTGGGTATCCTTGTTAACTTTCTGTCTCGTTGATCTGTCTAATGTTGACAGTGGGGTGTTAAAGTCTCCCATTATTAATGTGTGGGAGTCTAAGTCTCTTTGTAGGTCACTCAGGACTTGCTTTATGAATCTGGGTGCTCCCGTATTGGGTGCATATATATTTAGGATAGTTAGCTCCTCTTGTTGAATTGATCCCTTTACCATTATGTAATGGCCTTCTTTGTCTCTTTTGATCTTTGTTGGTTTAAAGTCTGTTTTATCAGAGACTAGGATTGCAACCCCTGCCTTTTTTTCTTTTCCATTTGCTTGGTAGATCTTCCTCCATCCTTTTATTTTGAGCCTATGTGTGTCTCTGCACGTGAGATGGGTTTCCTGAATACAGCACACTGATGGGTCTTGACTCTTTATCCAACTTGCCAGTCTGTGTCTTTTAATTGGAGCATTTAGTCCATTTACATTTAAAGTTAATATTATGTGTGAATTTGATCCTGTCATTATGTTGTTAGCTGGTGATTTTGCTCGTTAGTTGATGCAGTTTCTTCCTAGTCTCGATGGTCTTTACATTTTGGCATGATTTTGCAGCAGCTGGTACCGGTCGTTCCTTTCCATGTTTAGCGCTTCCTTCAGGAGCTCTTTTAGGGCAGGCCTGGTGGTGACAAAATCTCTCAGCATTTGCTTGTCTGTAAAGTATTTTATTTCTCCTTCACTTAGGAAGCTTAGTTTGGCTGGATATGAAATTCTGGGTTGAAAATTCTTTTCTTCAAGAATGTTGAATATTGGCCCCCACTCTCTTCTGGCTTGTAGGGTTTCTGCCGAGAGATCCGCTGTTAGTCTGATGGGCTTCCCTTTGAGGGTAACCCGACCTTTCTCTCTGGCTGCCCTTAACATTTTTTCCTTCATTTCCACTTTGGTGAATCTGACAATTATGTGTCTTAGAGTTGCTCTTCTCGAGGAGTATCTTTGTGGCGTTCTCTGTATTTCCTGAATCTGAATGTTGGCCTGCCTTGCTAGATTGGGGAAGTTCTCCTGGATAATATCCTGTAGAGTGTTTTCCAACTTGGTTCCATTTGCCCCATCACTTTCAGGTACACCAATCAGACGTAGATTTGGTCTTTTCACATAGTCCCATATTTCTTGGAGGCTTTGCTCATTTCTTTTTATTCTTTTTTCTCTAACCTTCCCTTCTCGCTTCATTTCATTCATTTCATCTTCCACTGCTGATACCCTTTCTTCCAGTTGATCGCATCGGCTCCTGAGGCTTCTGCATTCTTCACGTAGTTCTCGAGCCTTGGTTTTCAGCTCCATCAGCTCCTTTAAGCACTTCTCTGTATTGGTTATTCTAGTTATACATTCTTCTAAATTTTTTTCAAAGTTTTCCACTTCTTTGCCTTTGGTTTGAATGTCCTCCCGTAGCTCAGAGTAATTTGATCGTCTGAAGCCTTCTTCTCTCAGCTCGTCAAAGTCATTCTCCATCCAGCTTTGTTCCGTTGCTGGTGAGGAACTGCGTTCCTTTGGAGGAGGAGAGGCGCTCTGCGTTTTAGAGTTTCCAGTTTTTCTGTTCTGTTTTTTCCCCATCTTTGTGGTTTTATCTACTTTTGGTCTTTGATGATGGTGATGTACAGATGGGTTTTCGGTGTGGATGTCCTTTCTGTTTGTTAGTTTTCCTTCTAACAGACAGCACCCTCAGCTGCAGGTCTGTTGGAATACCCTGCCGTGTGAGGTGTCAGTGTGCCCCTGCTGGGGGGTGCCTCCCAGTTAGGCTGCTCGGGGGTCAGGGGTCAGGGACCCACTTGAGGAGGCAGTCCGCCCGTTCTCAGATCTCCAGCTGCGTGCTGGGAGAACCACTGCTCTCTTCAAAGCTGTCAGACAGGGACATTTAAGTCTGCAGAGGTTACTGCTGTCTTTTTGTTTGTCTGTGCCCTGCCCCCAGAGGTGGAGCCTACAGAGGCAGGCAGGCCTCCTTGAGCTGTGGTGGGCTCCACCCAGTTCGAGCTTCCCGGCTGCTTTGTTTACCTAAGCAAGCCTGGGCAATGGCGGGCGCCCCTCCCCCAGCCTCGCTGCCGCCTTGCAGTTTGATCTCAGACTGCTGTGCTAGCAATCAGCGAGATTCCGTGGGTGTAGGACCCTCCGAGCCAGGTGTGGGATATAGTCTCGTGGTGCGCCGTTTTTTAAGCCGGTCTGAAAAGCGCAATATTCGGGTGGGAGTGACCCGATTTTCCAGGTGCGTCCGTCACCCCTTTCTTTGACTCAGAAAGGGAACTCCCTGACCCCCTGCGCTTCCCAGGTGAGGCAATGCCTCGCCCTGCTTCGGCTCGCGCCCGGTGCGCGCACCCATGGCCTGCGCCCACTGTCTGGCACTCCCTAGTGAGATGAACCCGGTACCTCAGATGGAAATGCAGAAATCACCCGTCTTCTGCGTCGCTCACGCTCTGAAGTCAATTTTCTAAAGGATATATTTACACAGGCCCGATGTCTTTCTAAAAATCTTATTTTCCTCAAATTGCTTTATATTTCAACTGTGAAATGTATTTCTAAGAAAAGATAGCAATATTGTGCTAAGGAGTATAAATTAGATTTCCTTTGAGAAAGGACAGTGACTTAAACGTCAGAACAGATGTGATGAGCATTATGGAAATCCTCCAATCATTTGTCCTCCAGGATATGGGTGTCAGTATATCCATACTGATGAACATACACATTTTAAGATAGATGAAAAATCTGCTCTTGCTATAAAACTGTGTCTCTGTAAATCTTTAGAGATTAAAGAATATAAGTCAGATTTTAAAAAATGATGGATAATTTTTATATAAACATATGTATATGAAAACAATACAATAATATAATGTTACATATGCAACTAATTTATGTTATTTAATATTATATGTAGTACAGCCACTTTGAAAAACAGTCTGGGAGTTCCTCAAAAGGTCAAACATTGAGTTATCAAGGACCCAGCATCTCCACTCCTTGGTATATGCCCAGGAGAAATGAAAATGTGTGTCCACATAAAACTCATACAGGAGGCCGGGTGCTGTGGCTCACGCCTGTAATCCCAGCACTTTGGGAGGCTGCGGTAGGTGGATCTCTCGAGCTTAGGAGTTTGAGACTAGCCTGGGCAACATGATGAAATCTCGTCTCTACCAAAAATACAAAAACTTAGCTGGGTGTGGTGGTGTACATCTGTGGACCCAGCTACTTGGGGTCACTGAGGAGGGAGGATTCCTTGAGCTCAGGGGGCGGAGGTTGTAGTGAGCCGAGATTGTGCCACTGCACTCCAGCCTGGGCAACAGAGTGAGACCTCATCTCAGAAAACAAACAGAATAATGGTCATAGCAGAATTATTCATAATAGCCTCCAAAAGGAAACAACCTAAGTATACATCCATGATGGATGGGTAAATAAACTGTGGTCTATCCATACAATGGAATATGCTTCCATCATAAAAAGAATTGCAGTTCTGACACATGCTGCAATGTGGATCAATGTTGAAAACGTTATGCTAGAAGCCAGACACAAAGATACAGTATTGTGGGGTTCCATGGCCACGACAGGGAGAATGCAGGTTCGTGGTTGCCAGGGGTTGGAGGAGTTAGGGGAAGTGGGGAGTGGCGGTACAGGGTTTCTTTTTGGTGTGAAGTTTATGTTCTAAAATGGATTGCACTGATGTTCGCGCAAGTCCATAAATAAACTAAGAACCACTGAATTGTACTTCAAGTGGATGAATTGTATGGTTCTTAAATCATAACTCAATAAAGGAGGAAAATAAGATACGAAGAGCACTCTATTTAGCTTTATGTCATCTGAAAGTTGAAATGAACCGTACGTTCAGAATGTAGACTTGAAGCAAATTTTCAAAAAAAACCCACTGGTACCTTCAGTTCGTCTTTTCTCTTGGGCCTCAAGGAAGGACAGTGAGGGAGCTCTGGGGCAGCAGAGTTAACGATAATTCATTTTCCACAAATACTTTCATTCTTCGCCTCTGATTTGGTGCTGGTTATGATTCTCTGCGGAAGGTATTATAATTAACCTTGCTTTAACAAGAAGAGAAAGTCTTCACTCAGAGGTGACACGTTCTACAGCACGAGCTCGAGCTGAGATTTGAGCCTGAAGACCTTCTGATTCCAAATTTGGCATGTGTTGCTTTTGTGGCATATCTTAAACATTTGCCATGGATTATTACAACTATATGATAAACTAATAATTCAGACAAACACGGAAATGAGTCAACAGTTTACTTCCAGAGTGGGGAGCTGCTGGCTTCGGTTCTCACCCCATCATGGACGCTGTGGGCTCGGACAGTTAGCAAACGCTGCATTCTCTGTTTTCTTCCTTATAACAGGGAAGGTAACATCAGCGGGATCACAGATTTGCTGGAGGGGACAACCATGGAAAGGGGCAGGGTATAAAAGTCTTTGATTGCTAATTGAAAAGATTTCATCCTAAAGAGGCACTTAGGCCCACAAGAATGTAGCACGTTTCTAAAGCTCCTGCACAAAGGACAGGCCGCACTCACTAGAGCCCTGGATTCACGCATTCACCAGAGACTCTTGTGATCATCTGCTTCCTTCAAGTCACGAACAGAAGACGTCAGGGGAATATGGAGACCACTTTGCTTCTCAAGCATCTCAGAGGCACGCACTCTGAGAGCCCTGCTGTATCACTTGTGTGGCGACGGAAGTGCGAATCAAGTAGGTAACCATCTTCGGCTCAAATTGGTCCACTCCCCTGAGTAGTAGGGAGCTGTGTCCAGAACACAGGAGTGGAGGTCAGGAGGTCCGGATCTGGGGCTTGCATTCGGTTCTGTGCATCCTCACCGTATGAACCTGGGTAAGTCACGGATGTTGCTCACCCACTGTTTCCTCTTTCGGCAGTGGAAGCAATGATGGTGCCTGGCCTGCATCCTCAGGGGCCGATGAGGTCAGGTGAGCCGATGGCACCGAGGTTGGCTGCAGGGTGGTGTGCCCCGCCTGGCTTCTGGTGCTGTTGCTTCTAACAACAAAGCGACTGCACTATCTTTATCCTGTTACACCACAAGTACTCCACACACGACACAAAACATCAGACCTTTTCTGCAGCAGCTCCTGGTAGATGCTAAGCTCAGCGATTCTAACGGCTGGCCTATCACAGAGAAGCTATGATTCTGCCTGTGGTATCTTCATTATTATTTACATCTAAGCCATTTATGTTTGAGTTTTTTTTTTAACAAGTACATTGCTTTTTTCTTTATAAATATTTTTGACTGTTGTCACTTTACATTTAAAGGCTGGTGTCGGAGCAACAAGAAGACATTCATTGGATGGTTTTGCAAATCCCAATCTGGATCACAGTCTCCTGCGTGCTTGCATGTAATGTAGATTCCTGGATCACGGTCTTCTGCATGCTAGTATGTAATATAGATTCCAGGATCATGGACTCCTGAGTGCTTGCATGTAATATAGATTCCTGGATCACGGTCTCCTGTGTGCTTGCATGTAATATAGATTCCTGTATCACGATCTCCTGAGTGCTTGCATGTAATGTTGATTCCTGGATCGCATCCCCGGAGATGGAATTTAGAAGGGTGAGGTCAGCCCCAAATCCAAATTTTAAATAAACATTCTAGGTGATTCCATTCCTGGTGGTCTATGGGCCAGACCACACTTTGAGAAACATGGATCTATTTGGATGGAGGGATAGGGTGCCCCACTGAGGTACTGTTTAGAGAATCTGAATTTTGTCCATTTCATTTGCAAATCATAATGAACACCCTAGTGAAACATCTCTCCCTGGTGTTAGGAGATAAAATTCGTATTTACATTTTCAGCAAACTCCAGTGCATTTATAGCAAGGTCCCTTCTCCCGCAGTTACCTAGCAATGTTTCCAGGAAAATGATTTCTGAATCCATGTCGATAACGGCCATATGTGAACAGTGTCTGCAGTGTCCACAAAATGAAGAAGGGTCATTCACCTTTGTGCCTGTTCACTTAAGTGTCTTTAAGAATGTGTTCTGTCCCAGCTTTGTCTTGGGCATCAGAATGGAAATGTGTGGCCGCAGCTGGCTTGACTTGAGGAGAGGTGCCGACGCGGTGGCTGGGGTATGTGGGGAGGTGGGGGTTGGAGCTGCAGGACTCAGAACACCCCTCATACGGAGGCAACTTGAGTTTAGTAATTTGCATGGAATCTCACCAAATATTAAGTGGTCAAATATTGAACGGTGGTCTCCTGCCAGCAGGACGCATGGGGAGGATGATGTGGTCAGGTTTAGAAGCCTGCAGATCCCTCCTCAGCCCCAGTCCCTTAGATAAATAATCCCTGAGACAGAAATACTGACTGTTCCAACTACTATGAGCTGGATGCTGAGCCCATCACAGTGTGGAGGAGATGTCATGGCCTTGCCGGCACAACCCAAAAGAATGAAGACCCAGCCTCCACTCTAACCAGCCTCTACAGAACTGAGACCCAGCCTCCACTCTAACCAGCCTCTGCAGAACTGAGACCCCACCTCCACTCTAACCAGCCTCTGCAGAACTGAGACCCACCTTCCACCCTAACCAAGCTCTGCAGAACTGAGACCCAGACTCCACTCTAACCAGCCTCTACGGAACTGAGACCCATCCTCCACTCTAACCAGCCTCTACAGAACTGAGACCCAGCCTCCACTCTAACCAGCCTCTGTAGAACTGAGACCCAGCCTCCACTCTAACCAGCCTCTACAGAACTGAGACCCAGCCTCCATTCTAACCAGCCTCTATGGAACTGAGACCCAGCCTCCACTCTAACCAGCCTCTGTAGAACTGAGACCCATCCTCCACTCTAACCAGCCTCTACAGAACTGAGACCCAGCCTCCACTCTAACCAGCCTCTGTAGAACTGAGACCCAGCCTCCACTCTAACCAGCTCTGCAGAACTGAGACCCAGCCTCCACTCTAACCAGCCTCTGTAGAACTGAGACCCAGCCTCCACTCTAACCAGCCTGTGGAGAACTGAGACCCAGCCTCCACTCTAACCAGCCTCTGCAGAACTGAGACCCAGCTTCCACCCTAACCAAGCTCTGCAGAACTCAGACCCAGCCTCCGCTCTAACCAGCCTCTGCAGAACTGAGACCCAGCCTCCACTCTATCCAGCCTCTGCAGAACTGAGAGCCAGCCTTCCACCCTTACAGACCCCCTCATTCTGTTGAATTCTCCCTCGTGGCACTCGACACCTTTAGGGTGCTACACACTTCACTTTTTATTACTGATCACCTGTCATGTTTACTGCTTATTATCTGTCCTCCTCTGTGACAGCATGGGAAGCATGAGAGCTGTCACTGCCTGCCATGCCCACGACATTGTGGAGCATCTGGAGCAGTGCCTGACACATGGAGGAGCTCAAGAGACACTTGTGCGATGAATAAATGAATGAATGAATAAACTGCTGTCACTCCTGGGAAGGAGGGGCTTCCTTGCTGCCTTGGTGGTCTCTGAGCTGGTAGAGGGTCAGCCTGGAGTAGCTGGTGCCATCTCATCATTGCCTGGGACGGTCTGAATGAAGCCAGTGCAGGTGGGCAGGCCTGAGGCCTGATGCTGGGGTGGCCTGGCCCGGCCTCCGTGGATTCGGGCCTCCAGCCCTGGCTAGCTCTGGGCAACATGGCTGCATGAATCAGTATATTCCCTGTGTGGAATAGGCCTTTCACTGTTAAAGCTGGAGATTCTTAATAATGCCCAACTTTGAAGCAGCCAGGCTGTAAAGCATGTCTGCATTTTTAAAGAAAGACCCCATTTCAGTGACATCGATTCATCAGAGCACACCATTAATTAGAAACAGCAACACTGTCTTACACTTTCTACTAGAATGTCATTAATTAGAAATAACAACATTATCTTACACTGTTTACTAGAAACACTTTTACTCCTCTTGTCATAGTGGGCCATTCAACAAACATTAATATCGAATATGTGTTGTGAATGATGCTGGGCATTAAGAACATATCCATTCACTCACTCTCTCATTCACATATTTGACAAGAGTGGGCTGAGTGCTTCAATGCAGCCTGCATGGCCCAAGTCTGGGATGCAGCAGGCAGCAGGACTGACAGCTCGTGAGGGATAGAGGCCCCCACAAGCAAGAAGGTAGCACGGGCTGATCACACACACACACACACACACACACACACACACACACACACACACACACACATCCTGTTAAATTAAGGTTTTAGGATCAAAAGTGACTACATAGCTACCTCAGATTGCCTGGTGAAAAAAATGTCTCACTGAACAGGTGCTATTTAAGCTGATATCTCAATGACTAATTATGCAAGGATTGAGAGGAACCATTTAGGGAGAGGAAACAGCAACTCCAAAGACCCTAAGCTACGAGAGAGCTCTGAGCATTTGAGGAAATTAAAGACCAGAGTGGTGAACGAGCAGACCAGGCTTGGTCTCATAATGGAGACGTTTGTGGGCCGAGGCGGAGAGGCTCCATTTTACTTTCAATGTGACAAACATCTGTCACGGAGTTTTCAGGGACTCGGTCTGATCTGCTGTCTGTAAAAAGCCTGTAAAACTGCTCTCTGGGCAGGGCATCTCTGAAAGAAAGGCAGCAGCCCCAGTCAGGGCTTATAGATAAAACTCCCATCTCTCTGGGACAGAGCACCTGGGGGAAGGGGCGGCTGTGGGTGCAGCTTCAGCAGACGTAAACGTTTCTGCCTCTCGGCTCTGAAGAGAGCAGCAGCTCTCCCAGCACAGCGCTCGAGCTCTGCTAAGGGACAGAGTGCCTCCTCAAGTGGGCCCCTGACCCTCTTGTCTCCTGATGGGGAGACATCTCCCAGCAGGGATCAACAGACACATCACACAGGAGAGCTCCGGCTGGCATCTGGCAGGAGTCCCTCTGGGACGAAGCTTCCAGAGGAAGGAACAGGCAGCAATCTTTGCTGTTCGGCAACCTCCACTGGTGATACCCAGGCAAACAGGGTCTGGAGTGGACCTCTAGCAAACTCCAGCAGACCTGAGAAGAGGGGCCTGATGGTTAGAAAGAAAACTATCAAACAGAAAGTAATAGCATCAACATCAATAAAAAGGACGTCTACACCAAAACCCTATCCGAAAGTCACCAGCATCAAAGAACAAAGATAGATAAATCCATGAAGATGAGGAAAAACCAGCACAACAAGGTTGAAAATTCCAAAAACCAGAAAGCCTCTTCTCCTCCAAACGATCACAACTCCTCACCAGCAAGGGAACAGAACCGGACAGAGAATGAGTTTGGCAAATTATAGAAGTAGGTTTCAGAAAGTGGGTGATAAACTCCTCCAAGCTAAAGGAGTATGTTCTAACCCAACACAAGGAAGCTAAGAACCTTGAAAAAAGGTTAGAGGAATTGCTAACTAGAATAACCAGTTTAGAGAAGAACATAAATTACCTGATGGAGCTGAAAAACGCAGCATGAGAACTTCGTGAAGCATACACAAGTATCAATAGCTGAATCAATCAAATGAAGAAAGGATATCAGAAATTGAAGCATCACCTTATTAAAATAAAGTGTGAAGACAAGATTGGAGAAAAAAGAACAAAAAGGAACAAACAAAGCCTCCAAGAAATATGGGACAATGTGAAAAGACCAATCCTACATTAGATTAATGTACCTGAAAGTGACGGGGAGAACGGAACCAAGCTGGAAAACACTCTTCAGGATATAATCCAGGAGAACTTCCCCAACCTAGCAAGAAAGGCCAACAATCAAATTCAGGAAATACAGAGAACACCACAAAGTTACTCCTTGAGAAGAGCAACCCCAAGACACATAATCGTCGGATTCACCAAGGTTGAAATGAAGGAAAAAATGATAAGGGCAGCCAGAGAGAAAGGTCAGGTTACCCACAAAGGGAAGCCCATTAGACTAACAGTGGATATCTCTGCAGACATGCTAAAAGCTAGAAGAGGGTGGGTGCCAATATTCAACATTCTTAAAAAAAAGAATTTTCAACCCAGATTTTCATATCCAGCCAAACTAAGCTTCATAAGTGAAGGAGAAATAAAATCCTTTACACACAAGCAAATGCTGGGAGATATTATCACCACCAGGCCTGCCTTACAAGAGCTCCTGAAGGAACCACTAAACATGGAAAGCAAAAACCGGTACCAGCCACTGCAAAAACATACCAAATTGTAAAGACCATCGACACTATGAAGAAATTGCATCAATTAATGGGCAAAATAACCGGCTAGCATCATAATGACAGGATCAAATTCATATATAACAATATTAATGTTAAATGTAAACAGGCTAAATGTCCCAGTTAAAAGACACAAACTGGCAAATTGGATACAGTCAAGGCCCATTAGTGTGCTGTATTCAGGAGACCCATCTCATGTACAAAGACACACACAGGCTCAAAATAAAGGGATGGAGGAATATTTACCAAGCAAACGGAAAGCAAAAAAAGCAGGAGTTGCAATCCTAGTCTCTGATAAGACAAATTTTAAGTCAACAACGATCTAAAAAGACAAAGAAGAGCATCACATAATCGTAAAGGGATCAACGCAACAAGAAGAGCTAACTATCCTAAATATATATGCACTCAATACAGGAGCACCCAATACAGGAGGACCCAGATTCATAAATCAAGTTCTTAGAGACCTACAAAGAGACTTAGACTCCCATACAATAATAATGGGAGACTTTCACACCTCACTGTCAATATTAGATCAATGAGACAGAAAATTAACAATGATATTCAGGACTTCAATTCAGCTCTGGACCAAGCAGACCCAATTGACATCTACATAACTCTCCACCCTAAATCAACAGAATATACATTCTTCTCAGCACCATATCACACTTATTCCAAAACTGACCACATAATTGGGAGTAAAACACTCCTCAGCAAATGCAAAAGGATGGAAATCATAACAGTCTCTCCGACCACAGTGCAATCAAATTAGAACTCAGGATTAAGAATCTCACTCAAAACTGCACAACTACATGGAAACTGAACAACTTGCTCCTGAATGACTACTGGGTAAATAACGAAATTAAGGGAAAAATAAATAAGTTCTTTGGAACCAACAAGAACAAAGACACAACATACCAGAATCTCTGGGACACAGCTAAAGCAGTGTTTAGAGCAAAATTTATAGCACCAAATGCCCACAGGAGAAAGTGGGAAAGATCTAAAATCAACACCCTAAAATCACAATTAAAAGAACCAGAGAAGCAAGAGCAAACAAATTCAAAAGCTAAGATAAGACAAGAAATAACTCAGATTAGAGAAGAACTGAAGGAGATAGAGACATGAAAAACCCTTCAAAAAAAATCAATGAATCTAGAAGCTGGTTTTTTGAAAAGATTAACAAAATAGATAGACCACTACCCAGACTATTAAAGAAGAAAACAGAGAACAATCAAATAGACACAATAAAAAATGATAAAGGGGAGATCACCACTGATCCCACAGAAATACAAACTACAATCAGAGAACACTATAAACACCTCTACACAAATAAACTAGAAAATCTAGAAGAAACTGATACATTCCTGGAAACATACACCCTCCCAAGACTAAATGAGGAATAAGTCAAATCCCTGAATACACCAATAACAAGTTCTGAAATTGAGGCAGTAATTAATAGCCTACCAACAAAAAAAAGCCCAGGATCAGATGGATTCACAGCCAAATTCTACCAGAGGTACAAAGAGGAGCTGGTACCATTCCTTCTGAAATTATTCCAAACAATAGAAAAAGACGGACTCCTCTCTAACTCATTTTATGAGGCCAGCATCATCCTGATACCAGAACCTGGCAGAGACACAACAAAAACAGAAAACTTCAGGCCTATATCCCTGATGAACATGGATGCAGAAATCCTCAATAAAATACTGGCAAACTGAATACAGCAGCACATCAAAAAGTTTATCCACCACGATCAAGTCGGCTTCATCCCTGGGATGCAAGGCTGGTTCAACATATGCAAATCAGTAAACATAATCTATCACATAAACAGAACCAATGACAAAAACCACATGATTATCTCAATAGATGTAGAGAAGGCCTGCAATAAAATTCGACACTGCTTCATGCTAAAAGCTCTCAATAAACTAGGTATTGATGTGAAGTATCTCGATAAGAGCTATTTATGACAAACCCACAGCCAATATCATACTGAATGGGCAAAAACTGGAAGCATTCCCTTTGAAAACTGGCACAAGACAGGGATGCCCTGTCTCACCATTCCTATTCAACATAGTGATGGATGTTCTGGTCAGGACAATCAGACAAGAGAAAGAAATAAAAGGTATTCAAATAGGAAAAGAGGAAGTCAAATTCTCTCTGTTTGCAGATGACATGATTGTATATGTAGAAAACCCCATTGTCTCAGCCCTAAATCTCCTTAAGCCGATAAGCAACTTTAGCAAAGTCTCGGGATACAAAATCAATGTGCAAAAATCACAAGCATTCCTATACACCAATAACAGACAAACAGAGAGCCAAATCATGAGTGAACTCTCATTCACAATTGCTACAAAGAGAATAAAATACCTAGGAATCCAACTTACAAGGGATGTGAAGGACCTCTTCAAGGAGAACTACAAACCACCACTCAAGGAAATAAGAGAAGACACAAATAAATGGAAAAACATTCCATGATCATGGATAGGAAGAACCAATATTGTGAAAATGGCCATACTGCCCAAAGTAATTTATAGATTCCATGCTATCCCCATCAAGCTCCCATTGACTTTCTTCACAGAATTAGGAAAAAAAAAAAAACTACTTTAAATTTCATATGGAATCAAAAAAGAGTCCATATAGCCAAGACAATCCTAAGCAAAAAGAACAAAGCTGACAAAGAACACCAGCTGACTTCAAACTATACTACAAGGCCACAGTAACCAAACAGGATGGTACTAGTATCAAAACAGATACATAGGCCAATGGAACAGAACAGAGGCATCAGAAATACCACCACACATCTACGACCATCTGATCTTTGACAAACCTGACAAAAACAAACAATGGGGAAAGGATTCCATATTTAATAAATGCTGTTGGGAAAACTGGCTAGCTATATGCAGAAAACTGAAACTGGACTCCTTCCTTACACCTTATACTAAAATTAACTCAAGATGGATAAAAGACTTAAACATAAGACCTAAAACCATAAAAAGCCTAGAAGAAAACCTAGGCAATACCATTCAGGACACAGGCACTGGTAAAGACTTCATGACTAAAACACCAAGAGCAATGGCAACAAAAGCCAGAATTGACAAATGGGATCTAATGAAAGTAAATAACTTCTGCACAGCAAATGAAACTATCAGGCAACCTACAGAATGGGAGAAAATGTTTGTAATCTATCTATCTGACAAAGGGCTAATATCCAGAATCTACAAGGAACTTTAACAAATTTACAAGAAAAAAAAACCTAACAACCCAATCATAAAGTGGGTGAAGGATATGAACAGGCATTTCTCAGAAGAAGACATTTATGAGGCCAACAAACATATGAAAAAAAGCTCATCATCACTGGTCATTAGAGAACTGCAAATCAAAACCATAATGAGATACCATCTGATGCCAGTTAGAATGACGATCATTAAAAAGCCAGGAAACAACAGATGTTGGAGATGATAAGGAAAAATAGGAACGCTTTTACACTGTTGGTGGGAGTATAAGTTAGTTCAACCATTCTGGAAGACCGTGTGGTGATTCCTCAAGGATCTAGAACTGGAAATACAATTTGACCCAGCAATCCCATTACTGGGTATATACCCAAAGGATTACAAATCATTCTACTATAAAGACACATGCACATGTATGTTTATTGCAGCACTATTCACAATAGCAAAGACTTGGAACCAACCCAAATGACCATCAATGATAAACTGCATAAAGAAAATGTGGCACATATACACCATGGAATACTATGCAGCCATAAAAAAGGATGAGTTCATGTTCTTTGCAGGGACATGGATGAAGCTGGAAACCATCATTCTCAGCAAACTAACACAGGAACAGAAAACCAAATACCGCATGTTGCCACTCATAAGTGGGAGATGAACGATGAGAACCCATGGACACAGGGAAGGGAATATCACACACAGGGGCCTGTTGGGGGGTGGGGAGCTAGGGGAGGGATAGCATTAGGGGTTACACCTAATGCTAAATGACGAGTTAATGGGTACAGCACACCAACATGGCACATGTATACATATGTAACAAACCTGCCCGTTGTGCACATGTACCCTAAAAGTATAATAATAATAAAATTAAAAAAAAATTACTATTAAAAAAAGAATAAAATACATTTCAATTTCATTTAGCACTTAGTTCAGACTACTAAATAAATATTTATAGTTAAAAAATAATAATAGGCAGGGTAGTGGTGAATTTGGGAAGAAGGGAGTAACTGGGTGGGGAGCTCGCTGGGGGCTTCCGGAATGACCTATTTCTTTCTTTTTTTTTTTTTTTGAGACGGAGTCTCGCTCTGTCGCCCAGGCGGGACTGCGGACTGCAGTGGCGCAATCTCGGCTCACTGCAAGCTCCGCTTCCCGGGTTCACGCCATTCTCCTGCCTCAGCCTCCCGAGTAGCTGGGACTACAGGCGCCCGCCACCGTGCCCGGCTAATTTTTTTTTTGTATTTTTAGTAGAGACGGGGTTTCACCTTGTTAGCCAGGATGGTCTCGATCTCCTGACCTCATGATCCACCCGCCTCGGCCTCCCAAAGTGCTGGGATTACAGGCGTGAGCCACCGCGCCCGGCCGACCTATTTCTTGACTTCAGTATTTGGGAGGATTTTTGAGGTGGGAACCAATTGTTTCTTCTCTTTTGTATGTTATTTATGTTATTTGTCAATAAAAAGTTTATATATATTTAAAAAAACCCCGTAAAACCTGGGAAACATGGCAAAACCCTGTCTCTCCTAAAAATACAAAAATTAGCCAGGTGTGATGGCAGATGCCTGTAATACCAGCCACTCGGGAGGTTGAGGTGGGAGAATCGCTTGCACCCGGGAGGTTGAGGCTGCAGTGGGCTGAGATGACGCCCTGCACTCCAGCCTGGGTGACAGAGCAAGATCTTGTCTCAAAAAAGAAAAAAAGAAAAAAAAAGAAACCCCAGGAGCTGTTGTGTGGAGGACAGTGTGTATGGATTCAAGATGGGAAGCGGGAGGCCAGTTAGTGGAGTGACCCCACGATGGTCCTGCTGACAGCTGGAGACCCGAGTGAGTGGCAGGAAGAAGTCAGAGGTGGGACAGAATTGGCTGTGCCCAGGGGGCATGGCTGGCAGGAGGTAGAGCACAGAGAAAGAGCAGGGGCAGGAATGAGTGTTCGACTTTTAAAATGTTTAACTTTTTTTTAAAAAAACTATATTTTTGGCAGTTAAACTCTAGTTCTATTAGTCATTATAAGAGAGTGCGACCTGGCCGGGCGCGGTGGCTCACAACTGTAATCCCAGCACTTTGGGAGGCCGAGGTGGGCAGATCACCTGAGGTCAGGAGTTCAGGATCAGCCTGGCCAACATGGTGAAACCCCATCTGTTTGGTGATTTCCCGTAAGTTCTGTAAGCTTTCTTCACTCTTTTTATTGCTATTTTTTGCTGTCCTGATTGAATTATTTGTAACGATGTTGTCTTTGAGTTCACCGATGCTTTCTTCTGTTTGATCTGGTCTGTTGTTGAATCTTTCCAGTAAAATTTTCAGGTCAATTATGTTCTTCAGCTCCATAATTTCTGTTTGGCACATATTTAAAAAATATGTCCTGTCACTTTACTGAAATTCTCATTTTGTTCCTTCATTGTTCTCTTGACCTTAGGGGGCATCTTCATATCCCTTGTTTTGAATTCTCTGTCGAATAAATCATATAACTTCATTTCACTAGGGTCAGTTTCTGGAGATTTGTTTTATTTCTTTGAAATATCTTTGCCTGAGTTTTCATTTTCCTTGACTTTCCGCACTGGTGCCTTTCTCAGTCTTCATGACCTTGTCTTATACATGAGAAGACCCCCACCAATCATTCAGAGATTCTGAGGGTCTCAGCCAATTCTTTCCCTTCCCAGAGAGAAGAAGGTAGCTGTGGTTTTCGCCTGTTTGCTCTGCCTGAATCAGGGAAGAACACCATGGCATCTACTAGTCTAAGCTGTCATCTCTGTCCTCCCCTATGTGGCTGGACTGCTGGACCCAACAGAGCTCCAAGACTGGAAGGCTTGGAAGGTAGATGCCAGTTCTCTGTGCAACCCTGAAGAAGCTGAGGTGTGGGATGCATGGATCACCTCTTTCCTCTTCAGTGGGAAGCTGAGAGATGGAGTTCTTGTTTGCTTATTCTGTGCTGAGGAGGGAGAGGATCTACGGCATCTACCAGCCATGCCACTGTCTTCATTCTCCCCCAGGCAACCAGAGTGGGCCAGACTCCAGCAGGCCCAATGCTTGCAGGTCAGAGGCCAGACCTCTGGGAGCTCTCTTGGAAAAGTTGGGGTGCTGGATGTGCTAACTGATCCTTCCCTCCCCTGGGAGAAGGTAGAAGCCAGGGGGTCTCTTCCTGATTGTAGGGTGCTGTGCCAGGGTAGGAATTCTTGAGAGAATCTCCCGAGCATCTTTGGTAAGTCTGGTTTTGTATTTTCCCAAGGTGCAGGAGATTTTCAATTAGTGTCATTTATTTATTTATTTATTTTTATTTTATTATTATTATTATTTTTGAGACGGAGTCTTGCCTTGTCGCCCAGGCTGGAGTGCAGTGGCGCGATCTCGGCTCACTGCAAGCTCCGCCTCCTGGGTTCACGTGATTCTCCTGCCTCAGCCTCCTGAGTAGCTGGGACTACAGGCGCCCGCCACCACGCCCAGCTAATTGTTTTGTATTTTTAGTAGAGACGGGGTTGCACCGTGTTACCCAGGATGGTCTCAATCTCCTGACCTCATGATCCACCCGCCTTGGTCTCCTAAAGTGCTGGGATTACAGGAGTGAGCCACCGCGCCAGGCCTAGTGTCTAAATTTTTGTAAAGGGAATTTGTCCACAAATCATTGTTGAACGGCTGTGTTTGTTGAGGGGAAGGAGGGCCCAGACCTTCCTACTCCATTATCTTGTTGAAATCACTCCCCAAAAGATTTTTACTATTGCAATGTATAATCACAAATGCTGAATTAATAAATAATTTGAGTACTTCATAATATAAATGTAAGGATCAGTAGACAGTAAAATCTATCATCCTGCTGTGATTTTAGATAATCAAAGTGTTTGCTGAATCTGCATCCATTTGAAACTAAAATGCTAGTGTAACTGCTCCATGTAACATCCCAGCCAGCGGTACCCTGGTCAGTCGGTGATGCTCACAGAGAAGTCTGAGCCTGACAATTACTGTGGGATAATAAAAAGAAATGAGTTTATATTGCCCTTCCATTTGAGGAGGTCATAATTTAATCAGGAAGTAGAGAAAACACAGAAGATAAAAAATAACTATCACTGCATTAAATGGAACTACAGAAAAATGACACACGGAGAATTCTCCCAATGGAAAATTTTCAATAGTTAGAAGTTGTCCAGTAATGCAATGGGAGCCCTGAAAAGGAAATCCGTGGTGGGAACCCCCTCGGCTGGACTAGGAGGATGTTGGAATTTCCTTCCAGTTACATCCGGATGGGATTTGGGGACCGCTTTCCAGAGCTTCAGGGGGCAAATGTGCAACAGGACCATATTTGCACTTCAGGGAGCCCTTTCCAAGCAGAAACACAGGGGTAAAGTCAAGGGGGCCAGAGGCACACGTCAGGCCAATCGTCAATATAAAGATGTTAGAAAGGGATAAAAAATAGTATGTGAAGATTTTCAGAGTTTTCATAATTAAAGATTTTTACTGAACATAATCGAACATAATCAACCTTAGACTAATAAGAAACAGCCGATGGGGGCGTATTTTGTGAAGGATCTTGGTAAATGTGAACTGGACTAAACTGGCAGTGGGGAACCATGGAGAGCTGCGGCCAGGAGATGGCCCCGTTAGGTAAGCCTGGGCGGGCGTGTGCTGGGGCACCTTGCTCTGCACCCATCGCAGCTGTTTGTGTGTCTGGGCCCAACAAGGGCCATGGTGGATAAGGGATAAATGAGACTGGATACTCACTGCCCCAGCTCCCAGCAGAATCGTGTGGCAGGAGGCATGAAGCTAGATCCTGGAAAATGTGCTCGGATTTCCAAGGCCTGTCTGCATGCCACCTCCTCCCTCCGCTCCTCCTCCATCCACCGCCCCGGGTGGGAGGAACCTCCCTGGGAGTCCGTGGGAGTTTGTAGTTCATGTCAGAATTATTGACGCAGAGGCCAAGCGAGGGCTTCAGAATCCACAAACGTGAAGGGCAGCAGGGTTTCCCTCTGCTGGGGATGGGTGAGGGCCTCCCGCTGGAGATCCAGGATGCAGTTGGGTGTGATGTGGGGCCAGGAGATATGCGGGTGTGTGGGGTGTAAACTGGCTGCACACATGCCTTTGGGTAGAGCAATCACACGCATATTTCCTGCAGGTCAAGTAGATGTGTGACAAGTATCGGGTGTGGGTCATTTTACCCACAGTGAGTCCCAAAGAAACGTACCCCACAAATAGGCTGCAGGGGTGAACAGTGGAGGTGGAGTGGGAGGAGGGGGTTAGGCAGGAAAGGGGAGGCTGAGCCATCTCTCCATGTTAGAAAAGAAAGGAGGGGAAGACCCCATCAGGAAACTCAAAAGAATTGAAAAATGCCCAGTCCAACGTCCAGTCTTAGAGAAGCAGTGACCAGAGACCAGGAGGGCCCTTTCTTTTTGCTCAGTCAAGAGCCTTCTTTCTCCTCCATCCTCCTTCCCACCTGGCCCACATGGAGCCAGCGTTAGGAAGAGGGAGGGGGAGGGGGTGTGAGTGACCCCCATGCTCTAACCTCCCTTCCCTGTAATTCCCTAGAAATTAATGTTTGGGCTTTGCAGAGGGAAGGGAAGAACAGAACTTTGAATAGGAAAACAGACTGAAGGTTAAAAGACATCAGGTCTGTCTGGACAGGGCTAAGGGCTGGTGTCTTCATGGGCTGCACCTGAGATTGAGTGCACCCAGTTCTGCAGCTGCCGGCATGGGGTTGGGTCCCGAGCACGGAAGGGCAAGAATGTGTAAGATGTTTTCATATCTACATCCTCATGTTTTGAGCTTCCTTAATTATCCCAAGACTAGAAGCACATATGTTTTGCTTGGTCCTCCAACACCATTGAAGATGGCTTCTTTAAGGTGGCTTAAAGAATGGTTAAGGGATAGAGATCCACCAGTCCCTGGTAATGACATTGACAGTGAAGGCCTCTGCCAGGGGTGGGGCTCAGGGATGCAAGGGGCTGTCTGCTCTGGACCAGAGGGAGCCTCCGAACGGGATGGGGAGGAAGGAATGTCCCTCAGGACCCAGGAGCACAGAGGTGGGATTCCCATTTTCAAGTGAATAGGACAGAACAAGATTTTGAGCAACCAATTTCTTAGAACTACAAACTCAGTTAATCATGAAATTAAAGTGGAATTTGAGAGTGTGGAGTACACATTTCTCTTTATTTTAGCCAGCTAAAGTTACTGCTCTTCATGAAGAATCACCAACAATCGCTAAACTGATTTGAAGACAGATAACTGAGGAAAGGAAATCAGGTTTCAGCTGAGTAATCCGTGCTTCCCTTCCAGTAGTCAGCAGCAAAATCACCATGGTCACCCAGCTGGAGAAATGACATCCTATATTTGACCATACATTCCGGAAGAGAAAAGCCAACACGGAGATGGAAATAAGTTTCAGAAACAGTGTCTGATAATTACCAAGATAGAGGGGTGCCATTTTATGCATACTTCATTATCCTGGCGACGCGATTGCTTCTGGTACGGCCTGAACTGTGTCTCCCTGTAGAAGAGGTCCATGGAGATCCTCACCCCCAGTGCCTCAGAACATGACCTCGCTTGGAAATAGGGTCACTGCAGACGAAATGAGTTGAGATGAGGTCACCGGAGTGGGCTCCGAGGATGACAGTGCTCTTATGAGAAGAGGAGAAGGGACGAAGATGGGGAAGGTCCTGGGAGGCAGAGGCCGAGGGTGGAGTGATGCACCCACAGCCACGGACACTGAGGCGGAAGGAGGGATCCTCCCCTAGAGACGTGCAGGGAGCGAGGCCTTGCCCACACCTTGATTTCAGACTTCTGGCTCCCAGAACTGGAGAGGGTAAATTTCTATTGTTTTAAGCCACGCTGTGTGTGGTACTTTGTTATGGCAGCCCCAGAAACTAGTACAGTCCATCCCCCAAATGTAAATGGTGTTGCGGGGTCAGAAGTGACCTCAGAAAGCTTCTAGCAATACTCAAATGCGCATTCCTCACCCTCCATCAAGGCAAGGGATTCCCCGGTGCTAACAGCAAACCCCAACCACTCCCTGTAATGTGGTTCTGTCTCTACGTATTCCCTTACTGTACATCTTCTTTAAAAACAGCCTTGGGCGGGTGGATTGCTTGAGCCCAGGAGTTTGAGACCAGCCTGGGCTACGTGATGAAACCCCATCTCTACAAACAATAACAAAAACAAAAACAAAAATTAGCTGGGCATGGTGGCGCAAGCCTGTAGTCCCAGATACTGGGGAGGCTGCGGTGAGAGGATTAGAGCCTGGGGAGGTTGAGGCTGCAGGGAGCTGTGATCCTCCCACTGCACTCCAGCCTGGGCAACACAGCAAGACCCTACCTCAAAAAAAATTACCTTGGAGACACAAAATGTGGCAACATGCAAGGAATAAGTTTCATTTCTGAGGCTTTGAAACACACAGAATTATTGTTCCACTCATAGCTGAAAAGTAAAATAAAGCTGTTGATGACAAATTTATTACTATGGTAACTGCAATACAAGGATAATTTGTTTTTAAATGCAGTGTTACTATTGGAAAAACTGTACTTATAGGTTGCTAGGGGGCCTAGAAGACAACGAAACTAATGTTTTTCAGTTATCTTTTCTTATTTTAGTGCTACATGCTTTTTGCAGAAAATTTGGAAAATATTTAAAAGAAAATACAATTCAACCACAAACCCAGAGATAACCACCATTGGGATTACTGTGCATTCATACATTATTAGTTTTCATTGCTGTGTGTGATAGTTTGTGTGTGTCAACTAGGATATGGTACCATGGCATTTGCTCAAATACCTGAATGTGAAGGTGTGTTTTACAAGAGATTAATGCTCACATTGGCAGATTTTGAGTAAGGCAGATTTCCCTCCAAACTTGAGATGAAGTCACACTCTGTCGCCCAGGTTGGAGTGCAGTGGCGTGATCTCGGCTCAATGCAACCTCCACCTCCCGGGGTCAAGGGATTCTCCTGCTCCAGCCTTCTGAGTAGCTGGGATTACAGGCATGTACTACCATGCTCAGCTAATTTTTTTTCCTTTTTTTTTTTTTTTTTTTTTTTTAGTAAAGACAGCTTTCACCATGTTGGCCAGACTGGTCTTGAACTGCTGACCTCAAGTGATCCACCTGCCTCAGCCTCCCAAAGTTGTGGGATTACAGGCCTGAGCCACAGCACCCTGTTAAACACTGTTAATGTTTTAACAGTCTGTACACATATTATTTACTTGACAATTATTTTATTTATCTATTCAGTCCTTAATACATATTTACTTACCGAATGAATAAATGAAAAAATTCATAAATTAGGCATCATACGCCAAAGAAGACAATGAACTCATAGAACACATTGTCTTTACTATTGGGGAGAATTACATATAAGATGAGCTGTTTAGTAAAACTCGCTGCTGCTTCAAGGTTAGCACCGGGTTCTACTAATGGTGTGATTCCACTTAACTGTGTCCTCAGATCTTACAGATTGGACTCTTTTTTGCTCTGTTCTCTTCATTCAGTACATTCTCTGGAATCTCGAAGGTCGCACCTTCAATAGCCATTAGATTAAGAGACATGAACAGAAAGCCTTGCATGAATTTTTTCAGCTAAAAATACAGAAGTATTTAGCTGAACTATCCGTGCTGCTGCTGTTAGACATTCTGAAGGCTATGACAGTAAAGAGAGTGACTCATATTTAAGGAATGGTTGTTCTGAACACTCTTCATCGTGCGAATGTGAAAAATTATTTTTCTATTGTGCTACCAGAACTCTATTAGGAGTCACGTGATGAACTCAGGTAAGGCCCTTGGTTATGGGGCAGGAATGCACGTGTCACAGTTACAGGAAAACTCAGAAAAGTAGCTCATTGGTATAGTGAAGAGCTAGTAAATGCATTTTGTGGCTCTGAGTGTTATCATGAATGACTTAACTGTTTTGGAAAGTTAAGACTTCATATAATTAGAAATGGAAAAAAATCATGGTATTTTATTTATGTCTCTCAACCGAACTCCCTACCAAAAGCAGGGCCTGAAAAGAGAAAATGGCCACTATTAAATAATTTTACACATTATAAAAATTTGAAAAAGTAATTTAAAGAAAGAAAAATAATTAATAGTAGCTATATTTTTAATAGTAACCCTATCTCTCCTTCATTTCATTCATTCACCCCTTGAGTCAAAGTGGAAATCAAAGTCAAAATTGCTGAGTATTTAGATAACAGTGACTATAAAAGCATCATCTATCAATATATGTGTGATGTAGCTAAGATATATTCTTAGAAACATTCATAGCCTTATATACTTTTATTAGTAAATATACTTTCAGATAAAGAATGAAACAACAAATAGGTCTAAGAAAACAAAAGAAGAAATAGCAATAAAAGCAGAAGTTAATGAATTAGAAAACAACTGAAAATGTATAAATCCACCCAAGAGCCAGTTCCTCTCTGGCCTCACCCCAGATCACCATTTTCCTTTTTCAAGACCATCCCCCTGAAGCTGGCAGACCACTATAGGCAAAGTTATTTTTCCTGAGAAGCAAATCTATAAAAATCTCCTAAGAAAGTTATTTCCTGAAATTAAATAGTTCCTATAGATGAACGGGCAATGGATTTCTGCAAAGAGACCAGTATTTGGGATAAGGCTTTGCTGCCTAAAATTAGGAGATTCTCAAACTGCCCTTTGGAAGTAGGATGTTTTTAAGAAAGCATCCTGTAATGTTTTTAGGGAAACAGGCAATAAGCCAGTGTCTGTGGGATCCTTGCCCCTCCCGCTAGGACTTTCCAGAGGCAGGGGTTAAACTATGCATAGATTATGGGTATAATCAGCCCATTAGAAAAAAGCAATTTGGAAGACCTCCATTCTAGTCAGAATCTCCTTAGCTGCACTGATGAAGGTGAAAGCATAA